>NC_000012.12:72914673-73066188 GCF_000001405.40 Homo sapiens | reverse complement strand
AAAATGTGTTCAGTAGCCTAGTCACCGAGATGAAACCTTATTCCCAAGGCAGTTTATATACCAACGCTTCACTTGACAATCTGTCTTTCAAAATGAGCTGAGTGACAGAAAAACTTACTGCCTATGAAGAAAGGCTGTGTAGTCAAACCAGCTATGATTTCATAACCTCGCTTTCCCTATCACAAGATGTGAAACTGTGGGCAGTTATTTAACCTTTGGTTAAATTTGGTTTTATTGCCTATAAAATTGAGATTAAGATAGTATTTACCTCAATGGGGTAGAATCTTAAGGGGCACATAGCCATTCCTGGCACATAGTAAGTGTTTAGAAAATGTATGCGTTATTACTGATATAATTTCTGCTAGTAACAGTGTTATAAAAGAAAAGAAATAGAAATAAAAAGAAATATTTATAATTATTGCTGACAACTGTAAAATAAAACAATTTTTTAAATGAAAAGAGTGAAATTACACTTTGAAGGTCAATTTGAGTTTTATCATTGGTTCCTCTTTACTAAGGCATTTCTCCATTTCCCAAGATTTACAATGGAGTTTTATACCCTGAGCCAGATAATCTTGTAGGAACCAAATAGCACTTTCAGAATGGACCCAAAGCATCTCCTGATAGTTCTTAGATTTGTGTAATAATCTGGAAAGCAATAATGTATTTATAAATGTTCTATTTTATCTGTTGCAAAACACCTGGGAACAGTATAATTTGTATTAATTTAAATGCCCAGAGATCACTATATATTACATCCAATGCAAATGCTTCTTTCTGTCCTTCCTCCTCTGATCAGCCAGATTAATTTTTGAATTTAGTTTAAATATTAGTAGCTTTTCTTTATCATCCCTTTTTCCCCTTCTCACAACAGAGCTGAGAGCTCCCTCTCCATGTGATATAACGTAATATTTTAGATAGTTAAAAATTTTCTTTAAACCATCGAATTTCCTAGTCATGTCTCTGGAGAAAAGTGATTATTCAATTAATGTTGGGCACTACATAAACTAATTAATTCTATGAAGGAGACATCAGGCTCAAAGTGAAGATTTTTTTAAAAATTTGGTATTAAAATGAAATGATTGTAGCTCACACTTATTTAAAAAATCTATTAAAACTTACAGAGTGAACATTAATTTTGGTCTCTATTCTGCTTTAAGATTGAAGAGATTGCTAAAAACAAAAATCACCATTGATCATCTCATTGAATTTTTTATTGAAATTACATAAATTATAGTTATTCTAAACTGTTATACTATCTATAAATAAGTTATTATTACTAACCATCTGTTCTACCATATGATGTTATAGTTTTGATTATGCAAATAAAAGTTTACTGTAGAAAAATATTAAATTGCAGAATTTTGTCAAAAGAAGGTATAAAATTGTTTATGTTTTGTGGGGTAATATATAACTTAGCACTAACTTATATATAGCATAATACATGTATAATATACCATTTATCAATTATTTATATACTAAAATGAATATATGCATACATAGGCATTTGTATGTATTTTTAAATTCACACTCAAAATCAATTCATGGCATTTTCATGAATAATAGGAAATTACAATCCCATAAAAATAAGACAGTAAAATTTCCATTTCCTGAATTCAAAATTTCTAGACTTATAAGTTAACATCCAGTCACAGGAAGTATAACAATATACTCAGCCCATTTTTTAATCAAAAAATGAAATATAATGACCTAAGTCTTTATATTTATTACTATCTGGGTACATACACATTTTTGGAGACTTCACTAGAAACTCTCCTTTTTCATTCTTTAAAGCTAATCTCAAATAATTCTCTCATGACTAACCTACATCCTCATTCAAAGCATTGTTAATAGAATACACATAAAATTTACCTTCAATTTCCATAGTAATCACTCTGATTTACATAAAATTTACATAATAACCATTATAATTAAGTAGCATTATAGTAATGGTTATAAAAACAACCATCATAAATAGCATCCACTGAAATAAGCTTGGCAGACACAGGAGCTTTAAGTAATATCCATATTTATTTTATTGTTTTATATTACTGGAAATATATGTATTCCACTAATCTCTTGTAATATTTGTGTTTAACTTCAGCACGCAGCTGTAGAAATATATTACTTTTTAATTTTGAGAATAATATAAAGTATTCTGATGATCTGTTAACCAGGAATGTATTAACAAATTTTCCACTTGTGACCAATAGTTAGAAACAAGTGAAGGGATTAAATTACCAATTATTTATTCTCACTGTGTCATTGTAATATGTTTCTTTCTTAATTCTCACAGTTGATTCATCTTTTTGGATCAATTTTATTTCTTGTCTTTAATCTTTATTATTTTTATTAAATGGTCTTTCACTCCAACACTTTTAGTCTGTTTTTTTTCCTTCCAGAATGATTCAGTCTCTTATTTGATATGCTACTGTGCAAATAATGAATGAAGAGCATGACATGCAGTGAGAGTAATATTTCTTTACATAGAGGATGTATTAATTGGGATTAGTGTCAAAGAAAAAATTGCACTGGACAGAGTTAAATAAGCAAGGTTAAATAAGCAAGTCTTATTGAAGACCATTGCAATAAGTGGAGAGAGATTAAATTAAACCCTATTGAAATAAAAAGATGGGGTACACTACTGGAAAAGGACTGCAGTACATGAGGGAAAGGGTGGTCATTGTAATTAGGCCATCTACACTTGCTACTTGGTGATACCAAAATTATGCTTCTAACCTCCATAAAAATAGGAAGGGAGACGTGCGAATTTTCTTTTCTTTTTAAAATTGTTTTTTACTGCGGTAAGAATATTTAACATGAGATCTATGGTGTTAATGAATTTTTAAGTGTGCAATATTGTTAATTGTAGGCACAATGTTGTACAGCAGATTTCTAGAACTTATTCCACTCCATAACTGACATTTTATACCCATTGAAAAGCAACTCCTTGCCACCACCTCCTCCCACCTCTGGCAACCATCATTCTCCTCTCTATTTCTATAAGATTGGCTATTTTAAATATCTCATATAAGGGGAATTATATGAGATAATAATGATAATTATTATCATGATAATTATGATGATATAATATATGATATTATGATGATGATATGATATGATCATTATGTGACTGATAATTTCATTTAGGAAGATGTCCTCCAGGATCATCCTTATCATCACATATAGCAAGATTTCTCTTTTAAGACTAAATCAGTTTCCGTTTTATGTATACACTATATTCCTTCTTTCATTCACCTGTTGATTGACATTTAGGTTGTTTCCATAACATGGCTATTGTAAATTATGCTGCAGTGATAATAAGAGTGCAGATTACCTCTTCAAGACCCTGATTTCAATTCTTTTGGATATATATCCAGAAGTGGTATTCATGGATCATATGGTGTAATCCTAAGGCAATTTTTTGAGGAATAATCATACTGCTTTCAATAGTAGCAGCACCAGTTTACATTCCCAACCATGCACAAGTTTTCCCACTGGTCCATTTCCTAACACATCTTTTTATTTTTTTAAAATAATAGTTATATTAACTTACTGAAGGTGATATCTCATTGTGATTATGACTTACATTTCTCTGATGATTAGTGATGCTGAGCATCTTTTCATATACTTCTAGGCTATTTGCATGTTTTCTTTGGAGAAATATCTATTCATATCCCCTCATCCATTTTTAATGCAGTTAGCGTTTCTTTTATTTATTTATTTTTGCTATTGAGTTGTAGGAATTCTTTGTTACTTTGGATATCAAAACTTTATCAGATAGAAATATGGTTTGCAAATAGTTTCTCCAATTCTATAGGTTGGTGTTTCACTCTGTTGATTGTTTCCTTTGCTGTGCACAAGCTGTTCAGTTTGATGTAGTCCCACATATCTACTCTTGCTTTTATTTCTTGTGCTTTTGTTATCATATCCAAAAAATTGTTTCCAAGCTCAATGTAATAAAGGTTTTCCCCTTTTTTGGTATGTTTTCTTCTAGAAGTTTTACAGTTTCAGGCCTTAATTTCAAATCTTAACCTACTTTCTGTTGATTTTTGTACAGTGTAAGATATACACTATACTCATTCTTTTACTTGTAAATATTTAGTTTTCCCAACATTTGTTGAAGAGACTGTCCTTTCTCTATTGTGTATTCTTAGAAGCCTTGCAAAATATTAGTTGATCATAAATGTGTGGATTTATTTCTGGGCTCTCTATTCTGTCTCATTAGTTTATATGTCTATTTTTATGCCAGCAGCACACTGCTTTAATTATTATAGCTTTAAAATACATTTTGAAATCAGGAAGCACAATCCTCCAGGTCTGTTCCTCTTGACCAGGTCTCTTCCTCAGCTTTGTCTATTCAGAGTCTTTTGTGATTTCATATGAATATTAGGATAATATATTTCTATTTCTATATTAAATGCTATTGGAATTTTGATGGGGATTTAAACTCATTTTATGAAGACAGCATTACCCTGATTCCAAGGCCAGAGAGACTACAAGAAAAAAAATCTCTAATAAATATAGATACAATGAGCACCATCCAAATACTGGCAAACCAAATCAAACAGTACACTAAAAGAAATATATATATATTTATTTATATATTTATATATGTAATATATATATTTATTTATATATTTATATATGTAATATATATATTTATTGATATATTTATATATGTAATATATATTTATTTATATATTTATATATCTATATATTTATATTTCATTTAGTGTACTATGACCATGTGGCATTTACCTCTGGGACATAACGATGGTTATGGTTCAACACACACAAAGCAATTAACAAGATGTACCATATTAATAAACTGAACGATAAAAATCATGTTCTTATTTCAGTAGATCCAGAGAAGATATTTGACAAAATTTAACACCCTTTCATGATTTAACTCTCAACAAACTAGGTACAAAAGAAGTTTACCTGAATGTGGTAAAGCCCAGATTAGAAAATCCCACACTTAAAATCATACTTAATGATGAAAAACTGAAAGCAGTTTTCCCTCTAAGATTAGGAACAAAGAAAGGATACCCAGTCTTGCCACTTCTATCCTAAATAGTACTGGCAGTTCTAGTTAGAGCAATAAGGCAAGAAAAAGAAATAAAAGCCATCCAAATTAAGAAGTTAGAAGTAAAACTGTTTTCAGATAACATGATCTAACATGCAGAAAATTCTAAAGGCTCTACAAAAAAACTTTATTACCAATTAATGAGTACAGCATACAAAATCAACACATAACATATAAAAATTGTGTAATTACATACTAACAATGAACCATCTGAAAAATAAATTAAGAAATCAATCCCTTTTACAATAGCATCTAAAGGAATAAACTACTTAGAGGTAGACAAAACCAAAGAGATGGAAGACTTGTACACTTAAAACTACAAGCCATAGGTGAAAGAAATTAAAGGCATAAATAAATAGAAAGACATCCAATGTTGCTGGATTGGAAGACATACTATTATTAAAGATGATCATACTACTCAGGAATTGTTTTTCTTAATGATTACATTTCAAAGGCATGGCTCCCAGATCCTTGAGAAAGACATTGCTAGGTGAAAAACTTGCCAGAATCTGGGAAAAGAATCATATCTTGAAGGAGAAATGCTTGAAGAAAAAGGAGGTTGGGGGCTATAGTCAGGAAGAAATCCATCTAAAGTTTTCAGTCAAGCTGAGGGGAGTATTAAGGCCATCTTGTTCACTAAGTTTGGCTACAAATATAAGAAAGCCCAAAAGAACAATGGCTTAATAATTTTTTTAATGTTCATATATCTCTCACATATAGACACGGATATTTGCAGTCCACAGTGAATGGCAGTTCTGTCCTAGAAAGTATTCAAATCTGTGTCCCTTCCAGATCCAGATAATCATTCCCCAATTCCTAGGGGGTGATCGTTTTCTCTATAGCTTAGCAGCTGTCCTATTCCCATTTTAGGCAGCAGAAAATGGAAAAAGTAAGGAGAAAGGATGACAGAAGAAAGGAAACAGTAATAAATATAAATGTCTTGCATTTACTGTCTCTTGAGGAAAGTTCCTAGAAGCTGCCATAGGACATATCTTTTTATATTCTTTGCTCAGATAATTCTGTCACAATACAACATTTTGGTCAACTAAATACCTTTCACACTTTACTTTTTTTCCCACAGATACAACACGCTTATTATCTCCTCAGAGAATGCAATCTCAATGTCCCATCCAGTTACCAGATGCAGTTCAATGTTAGAAACTCTGGGGGATGTGTTATTCTTTCTATCATGTCAGCTTGTTCTAGCAACTCATAGTACATTAACTTATGAATCAAGTGACAAATTCTCTGTCCCTATTCTAGTATTGAATGCAAAAGTGGGAATGGGATAAGTCTATTTGGAATAATTTTAGATTTATAAAAAGTTGCAAAAATAGTACAAGGAGTTTCTTTATACCCTTCACTAAGCTTACAACAATACTCAAATCTTGCATAATCATTGCAGAAGTTCGTATTTGTGCAAAAAGAAACTAAAGATTTTTTTAAAGACCTTTCCAAATCTCTCACCATTGCCTTTTTGTTGTAGTTACAAGATCCAATCCAGGATCCCTTATTGCATCTAGTCATCATAGTCTCCTCTGATCTGGAACAGTGTCTTAGAGTATTTTCTTTTGGGGTGTGTGTGTGTGTGTGTGTGTGTGTGTGTGTGCGCGCGCGCGTGCGCACTAAAGTTCTGGAGAGATTTGGTCACATAGTTTGTAGAATGTTCCTCACTTTCAGTTTTACTGATTTTTTTTTTTCTCATGTTGAGACTTGGGTAATGGATTTTATGAAAGAACATCACAGTGGCGAAGTGCTCTTCTGAGCACATCATATCATATCAATGTGACTTATCACTTTTGTTGTTGATCTTGATCACTTGGTTAAGGTAATGTCTGACAGGTTTCTTTATTGTCAGTTACTTGAACTTTTTTTTTTTTTCTTTTTTTGAGACGAAGTCTCGCTCTGTCGCCCAGGCTGGAGTGCAGCGGCGCGATCTCCGCTCACTGCAAGCTCCGCCTCCCAGGTTCACGCCATTCTCCTGCCTCAGCCTCCCGAGTAGCTGGGGGGACTACGGGCTCCTGCCATAACGCCCGGCTAATTTTTTTTTTTTTTTTTTTTTTTTTTTTTAGTAGAGACGGGGGTTTCACTGTGTTAGCCAGGATGGTCTCAATCTCCTGACCTTGTGATCCGCCTGCCTCGGCCTCCCAAAGTGCTGGGATTACACGCGTGAGCCACCGCGCTGGCCGTTACTTGAACTTTTTAAACCTATCCTTTGGAAACCAGTCACTAAGTCCAGCCCACATTCAAGTGTGTGACGGGGGCGTTAAGCTGCCCCTCTTGGAGGAAGTAGTATCTACATGAATTATTTGGAAATTTACTGAAAGGAAGATTTGTCTCTTCTCCATTTATTTATGTATTCATTCCTTTATTCTTATCAGTATGGGCACAGTTATATTTATCATTACTTTAGATTATAATGTAATAAATGCTATATATTCTTGCTCAAATTTTTCCCACTTTGGCCATTAGAAGCTCTTTCAGATTGGCTCCTGTCTCTCTTACATGCCCACCAGCATTTTGTTTTTAAGTACTTCTTTACATTCCAGCATGGAAGATTCTCCAGGTTCAGCTTATATTTTCCCTGCACCAACTCTAAAATTATGTTTCTTCCTAAAAAAATTACAAACACAAACCTTGGTTCATTATAACAGAGAATGTTATTTGGATGCTAATATCTGGGCACTTAGTATGCCTATTGCTACTAAAGTGTCATTACCTCTGGGCCCTCTCCACCAACAGCTGGGAAATATATGTATAAACATTAACACGTATATATACACACACATTTATATTTGTTTTTCTATGTATGCCTATATTATAATAAACATAAATTTATGCTGATATTGTCAGATATATTTATAATGGAATAATATAACCCTATAAAGGGAACCAACAAGCATAAATTAAAAGCATAGACAAAAAAGCACAGTAGGATATATTTACTGTAAAACATAATTTCAAAACACCATCCACAAATTTCTTGATACACATATCTATCTCCCCTAGAATATAGGCTGGATTTAGAGACTGGCTTCTAATAAATAAAATAATAGAATGTAGCAGAAATGACACCGTGTGACATTAAAGGTAGTTTAGAAAAGGAACCGGATTGTCCAGCTGGCTCTCTCTCAGAATGCTCACTCTTGAAACCCAACTACTATGCTGTAAGGAAACCCATGTGAAGGGCCATTTAAACAAACTCACATTGACAGACAGGGGTCCCCAATATTTTTGGCACCAGGGACCAGTTTCATGGAAGACAGTTTTTCTACAGACAGAAGGTGGTAGGGGAGCGGGGGTTTCAAGATGAATCTGTTCCACCTCAGATGATCAGGCATTAGTTGCATTCTCATAAGGAGTGTGCAACTTAGATCCCTCCCATGTGCCCTTCACAACAGGGTTCTCACTCCTATGAGACTCTAATGCACTGCTGATCTGACAGGAGGCGGAGCTCAGGCGGTTATGCTCGCTAGCCCGCTGCTCACCCTGCTGGGCAGCCCAGGTCCTACCAGGCCACAGACTGGTGCCGGTCTAATGCCTGCGGTTTAGCGACCCTTGTTTTATGTGATCCTGCCCTTGAGCTGTCCCAAATGATGAGAAGTAGATCAGAGGTGAACTAATCCCACCCAAATATGCCCAAATCACAAATTCATTAGCAAAATAAATGGTATTGTTGGGCTCGAAGTCACAGTTTTAGGGGTAGTTTATTATACAGAAATAACTGAACAATTGAAATGTGTATATGTTTTTCAGTAGGATTCAAAATGATACTATATATAGATTTATTACACATATGTGGTAATAGTGCATCAACATGAATGGGAAAGATAAGCCAGAAGTTCAGAACGGTGGGAAATTGTTGAGAAAGAATAAGAAGAATGGGCTTGGGAGCATCCAAGGGAGGTGTGGGCCCAGGGAGCTGTAATGTTTTTGTTATTTTTTGTTTGTTTGTTTTAGAGATGGGGTTCTTGCTGTGTTGCCCAGGCTTGTCTTCAATTCCTGAGCTCAAGTGATCCTCTCGCCTCAGCCTTTCAAGTAGCAGGGACCATACGTGAGCACCACAATGCCTGGCTATTAGTTTTTTTTTAAAATGTGACCTGCAAAAAACTATAATTTGATAAAGCTAAATGGTGGGAATATAAGTTTCTGTTATATTATCCAACATATTCTGGTACTATTAGATTATGTTCTGATAAGAAAAGTAATTAATTTGTCACCTAAAGTAAAAAAGAGAGATTAAATTTCACAAAGACAACACAGTATAGTGAATAAAGGCTGAAGCTTGGAATTAGAAAACTTGGTTTTTCAATTTGGATTTTTATGGATGCTAATCATTCACTAGAAGCAATCATGTTACAGACAAACACTGGGGACCAAATAAGAATCAAAAGGTATCACTAGTTTTGTAATAGATAAAACTAAGACATCCATTTCAACAGAGCCTCGTATCTCTATCCCTGACTCTAGGCCTCAGAATTCCAGTGTCCCTGACGCCAACTGAAGCACAGGATAAAAGATGGAACCAATGAATAAGAACTGTTTGGATAGCTTACTGCATGCAATTTCATAACCAACACTACTTTTGATTTCAGATTCTGCCACTTGCTAGTTTGTGACCTCACATAAAATATTTAAATAGTCTAAGCCTCAAAGTTTTCATATTTAGAAAAAGAGGGTATTTACATCTCCCTGTGGGGTTTTATGAGGATTAGAAATAAGGTGCTTGGCCGGGTGCGGTGGCTCACGCCTGTAATCCCAGCACATTGGGAGGCTGAGGCTGGTGGATCACCTGAAGTCAGGAGTTCGAGACCAGCCTGGCCAACATGGTGAAAGCTTGGCTCTACTAAAAATACAAAAGTTAGCCAGGCTTGGTGGTGGGTGCCTATAATCCCAGCTACTTGGGAGGCTGAGGCAGGAGAACTGCTTGAACCCAGGAGGCGGAGGTTGCAGTGAGCTGAGATTGGGCCACTGCACTATAGCCTGGGTGACAGAGTGAGACTCCATTTCCAAAAAAAAAAAAAAAAGATAAAGGTGCTTATTTTTCAGGACAGGTATATAAACAGACACCCAAAAATAAGCCATAGTTTTAAATACTGAAGGCAATCCCTCTTGGAGCTATTCCAAAGATATTTTGAATATTTACCAAATCCGAGGAATATCTGTTCATCTTATGGATGATTATTTTAAACTAATCCTACAAGCATATATGAATGCAAGATAAATGTAAATTATCATTATATAGAATAGCATATGAATTATGATAATTTTTAAATACAGCTTCAATATGCTCAAAAAATATTATTTATATTGATTTTAACACAAAATAGATGGCCCACAATTTGTTTGACTTATAATTATATATAACCCAATTAACTGGAATACAATTGTCTAATGCTTTTTAGAACAAACATGAAAATTGATCACTCATTGCTAAGAACTAAACATTGTTGGAATAAAACTGGAGTAAAAATAGGGGATGATAACTCCTCTGGATACATGTTTGGACAGTTTAGGATGAGTGGCCTTTCTGACCAGGACAATATGTCCAGTAATGATGAGGTCAGAAGGCAATTGTCTCCTAATCAAAGGATATCTACTCATTCTTCTCCTCAAACCCAGGCCGAAGGAACATTTCTGTTACTGTGTTGACACAGAGAAAGCAAATTTTAATGAAAAGATTATGAGCTTTGTAAGTCAGATAGAGATTCTTAAGTCCGATCCCATCACTTCTCAATATGTGTGAACCCAAGGATAGTAATGCCCACCTCATTATGTTGTTTTGGAAATTAAATGTAGTAATATATGTAAAATCACACAATACAAATTGGTGCTCAATTAACATTAGTTCATTTTCACTTTTCCCATTGGTTTCAAGAAATATTTGATTATTGCTTTGTTTAAGCTCAAAATAAGGTGAATTGTTACAGCATGCAAAGACACAAATTTTCCAGGTGTGGGTTAATGCCAAGATGACTGAACTATACATAAAGACAGTTATGATCAGAGTTATGATCAGCTAACATCTCTGATCTAAAAATCTCATTTATCCGTACCTCTGCACATAGTAATAAACAGTTTTATTCTCTCATTGAATTAGAAGAAAATTTTCTAAACACCTCCTGGAAATTTGGGGGTACAAATATAAAGACCAAGTAGAATACACCAGACTGGGAAATCGTGGGTTATAATAAGATGGAAAACAACAGAGGATCACTTGGTGGCATCCTCTAATCTAATCACTGTGAGCGGATTACGTGGGCACAGAGGACATAGCAGGTATTATGTTCCTTATGCATTCATTCAGTCTGATGAGACAGGGACACAGTGCAGACCATCTTTTGGAACAGCTCTGCCAACAAAATGGTGTCCAACAGACATTTTACACTGAAAAGATTCCTCCCACAGGAACTGTTAAGGTGCATTACGGAATTTCCAGTTATAGAAACTGTGGGGCTTTGGTTGATAATAATTAGTTCTTGGACTCATTTGCATGCCACGGGAGAGAATTATTGCCAGACCCTTGTATTTATAGCTTCCCAGGTGAGAAATTTGAAAGTCCTGAAGGTAACTGAATTTCAAAGTAAAATTTTTGCACTTCCTCATTGCAAATAAGTACACGTGGAGGTAATCTCCAACATGAGAGAATAATTTATAGGAATATAGAAAGTCCCTATTAAGAACGTATAGGGAACTTATAATTCTCTAAAAAGGATATGGATATGGAACAATTAATGGATACTGAATCTTAAGAAACAAAAAAGTAGCTAAAGTAGATAAAAATTCAGAATGAGTATGATTTTCTACCTTAGAAAATAGACTGGGAGTATTTAGAACAAAGAAAGGAAAAGACTCAAATTGCAAAACACAAATAGCAAAAGATTATCAGACTGAAAAGAAGGCACATAGCAAATGTGAACTATCAGGACCTAGTTTATGATCAGCTGAATTAAATCAATATGACACATCTCTAATACAACATGTCATTGTACACACAGCTCAGCTCTCTGTGTCCTTCTGTTGTTTGTGATAAGAGCAATCATCCTATTTCCCATTGTTCTTTAAAATATAAACACAGCTAAGACCAGAATCAACATGACCAAAAAGACTGCCAAAATGTGCTGATAACTAAGATGTTCCGTAACTGTCACATTTAGATTCTCATTACAAAATAATCCCCAAAAAAAACCCAATAAGCAACTACAGATTATTTTCAAATAATGTAAATATTTGTACAAATATAAAATATTTTCATGTAAAAATATAAATGTAAAATGTAAAAATATAAAATAATGTAATTATATAAAATAATGCATAAAATATAAAATCATTTTACAAATGTTGAATGTCTCCATTCCAAGTGATCTATAATTCTCTACTTATTCATTTATAATATTCATATTAAAAAGGCAGTATCTTAATTTCCCTTTAAAAATGTTCAAATTATGCCTCTTAATGTAAGTCAGAGAATGGGAATTAACATGGGGTCAAAAATGTGAGAAAAGTATGACTACTTTGTCGTTTATTTCTAATTTTGATTTGAAATAAACTAGCAAAGAAATCTTCAATGACATAGATATCATTTTCTTCAAATGGTGCCATGCTTAGGTGTATCAGAATTGCTTCTGGGGAAAAACGGCTGTAATATACAAATATGTGAGTTATACACTTGAAAAATTTTCCAAGTAGAATCTTCAATCTAACCAAATTTGTCATAATTTGAATAGATATTGTTTCAAAACCTGCTACTATTTCAGAAGCTAGAATAACTTTTTCTTACTTCATTTTTGCTGCTATAACAGATATACCACCAACTGAGTGAATTATAGAAAAACAGGTATTGATGGGACGTATCTCAAAATGATAAGAGCTATCTATGACAAACCCATAGCCAATATCATACTGAATGGGCAAAAACTGGAAGCATTCCCTTTGAAAGCTGGCACAAGACAGGGATGCCCTCTCTCACCACTCCTATTCAACATAGTGTTGGAGGTTCTGGCCAGGGCAATCAGGCAGGAGAAGGAAATAAAGGGTATTCAATTAGGAAAAGAGGAAGTCAAATTGTCCCTGTTTGCAGATGACATGATTGTATATCTACAAAACCCCATCTTCTCAGCCCAAAATCTCCTTAAGCAGATGGGCAACTTCAGCAGTCTCAGGATACAAAATCAATGTACAAAAATCACAAGCATTCTTATACACCAACAACAGACAAAAAGAGAGCAAAATCATGAGTGAACTCCCATTCACAATTGCTTCAAAGAGAATAAAATACCAAGAATCCAACTTACAAGGGACGTGCAGGACCTCTTCAAGGAGAACTACAAACCACTGCTCAAGGAAATAAAAGAGGATACAAACAAATGGAAGAACATTCCATGCTCATGGGTAGGAAGAATCAATATCGTGAAAATGGCCATACTGCCCAAGGTAATTTATAGATTCAATGCCATCCCCATCAAGCTACCAATGCCTTTCTTCACAGAATTGAAAAAAACTACTTCAAAGTTCACATGGAACCAAAAAAGAGCCCACATTGCCAAGTCAATCCTAAGCCAAAAGAACAAAGCTGGAGGCATCACACTACCTGACTTCAAACTATACTACAAGGCTACAGTAACCAAAACAGCATGGTACTGGTACCAAAACAGAGATATAGACCAATGGAACAGAACAGAGCCCTCAGAAATAATGCCGCATATCTACAACCATCTGATCTTTGACAAACCTGACAAAAACAAGCAATGGGGAAAGGATTCCCTATTTAATAAATGGTGCTGGGAAAACTGGCTAGCCATATGCAGAAAGCTGAAACTGGATCCCTTCGTTACACCTTGTACAAAAGTTAATTCAAGATGGATTAAAGACTTAAATGTTAGACCTAAAACCATAAAAACCCTAGAAGAAAACCTAGGCAATACCATTCAGGACATAGGCGTGGGCAAGGACTTCATGTCTAAAACACCAAAAGCAATGGCAACAAAAGCCAAAATTGACAAATGGGATCTAATTAAACTAAAGAGCTTCTGCACAGCAAAAGAAACTACCATCAGAGTGAACAGGCAACCTACAGAATGGGAGAAAATTGTTGCAATCCACTCATCTGACAAAGGGCTAATATCCAGAATCTACAAAGAACTCAAACAAATTTACAAGATAAAAACAAACAACCCCATCAACAAGTGGGCAAAGGATATGATCAGACACTTCTCAAAAGGAGACATTTATGCAGCCAAAAGACACATGAAAAAATGCTTATCATCACTGGCCATCAGAGAAATGCAAATCAAAACCACAATGAGATACCATCTCACACCAGTTAGAATGGTGATCATTAAAAAGTCAGGAAACAACAGGTGCTGGAGAGGATGTAGAGAAATAGGAACACTTTTACACTGTTGGTGGGACTGTAAACTAGTTCAACCATTGTGGAAGTCAGTGTGGTGATTCCTCAGGGATCTAGAACTAGAAATACCATTTCTAGTTCTAGACCCAGCCATCCCATTACTGGGTATATACCCAAAGGATTATAAATCATGCTACTATAAAGACACATGCACACCTATGTTCACTGCAGCACTATTCACAATAGCAAAGACTTGGAACCAACCCAAATGTCCAACAATGATAGACTGGATTAAGAAAATGTGGCACATATACACCATGGAATACTGTGCAGCCATAAAAAATGATGAGTTCATGTCCTTTGTAGGGACATGGATGAAGCTGGAAACCATCATTCTCAGCAAGCTATCGCAAGGACAAAAAACCAATCACCGCATGTTCTCACTCATAGGTGGGAATTGAACAATGAGAACACATGGACACTGGAAGGGGAATATCATACACTGGGGCCTGCTGTGGGGTGGGGGGAGCGGGGAGGGATAGCATTACGAGATATACCTAATGTTAAATGACGAGTTAATGAGTGCAGCACACCAACATGGCACATGTATACATATGTAACTAACCTGCACATTGTGCACATGTACCCTAAAACTTAAAGTATAATTAAAAAAAAAAAAGAAAAAAAGAAAAACAGAAATGTACTTTCTCTCAGTCTGGAGGCTTGGAAGTAAAAGACCAAGGTGCTGACAGGTTTGGTTGTCTGGTAAGGGCTGCTGTCTGTTTCCAAGATGGCATCTTGTTGTTGCATCCTCTGAAGGAAGGAATGCTATGTTTTCACCCAGCAGAAGGCAGAAGTGCAAGATTGCCAAATGTTGCGTGAAGCCTTAATCCCACATAAGGGAGGAGCCCTCATAACCCAGTCATCTCTTAAGGCCTCATTTTGGCCATTATCTATCACATTGACCATTAAATTTCAACACCTGAATTTTGAAGGTGACACATTCAAACAATAGCTACATCCTTAATTAAAACATAACTGCTAGAAGGCAAGAATGTAATCCTACATTCTGTTTTTTTTTTCCTTCTGGTGTTATAGCATTCTTCCATCTGCATATTAGAAAATCAAAGATAGTAATTATTTGACAGAAATAATTCTTGTGATTTTAAGTATTGGCTCTAGAAAATCTAAGTGGCCCAAATTTAACTGTTAGTATTCCCCAAATTTAACTGTATTTAACTGTTAGTATATTTTTACCTTCCACTCCTTCCTTTCTACCACTTCTCATTTCACATCTTTGCTTCCTTTTCTTTTATTCTTTATTTTCTAACTATGCCTTCCTATAAAATAAAAAAAAAAAAATGACCCAGTGACCATTTTTTTATTCCCACTGACGGCACTCACAGCTAACAGGGTTACTTAACACTGTCCTATTCCCTAGGAAACAGGGAAGCAATGTTGAATTGAGTTAGCTTCATCTGAAAAGATGGGTATTAACCCCTGGCCAGAGTACAGGTGAAACAAAATTTACTGATAATAATAACTCCTTTTTGGCTCTAGTGTTATTCACCATTTTTAATCCATCAGAGAATTCCTATTCATTGATATCAGTGTCTTTATTACATCTTGCTACTATCATTTATCGCTTTCATTTTAACATATAACTGAAGAAATTCATTTTTACCTAGGAACATAGTTTTTTAAAACAGGTAAATTTATTAGTTCTCTTGTTAAAAATTCTTATCATTTGAAAGAAAACACTGTTTTTTGTCCTCCCATGTAAACAGCCTATATGGGACTATATTAAACTAGGTCTGTTTTAGTCTTTTATAGTCTACCTGCTAATATCTGCCCAAAGGGAAAAAACAACAAAAACTCAGAAGATTTTTCTGAGTTCAATGTTTCTTCACAAAGGGAGAATTTATAAGTATTCATCAATATAAATCATAGGACGAGAATATAATTAAAGTCATTAAGAATGCACTTTGTAGAGCTCTCCTCTAGCATCTCTTGGCTTTTAGACATTGATTAAATAAGAAGACACTTTGAAAAGGATGGAATCTCTGATGCATTTGAAATATTCACGTTTTAAGGAATCTATTTTAGATAAAATGAGAACCCTTGCTGATCCTGGCCCACTTTTAAAGACACATTCAAACCCTAAGCTTTTGTTATTTCTAAAATAGATTGTTAAGTGATTTTCCTTTATATTTTCTCCCTTTCTTCCTGAAAGGACCAACATCTAAACACCGACGTTGGTTTGTAATGGCATTTCTGGAAATACAGAGGATGGTTACAAATATTCTTAGACTTTTTACTTACAAAATAGGTCTTGTGTGGCTTTTTGATCTTGTGTTTGTATATGCCAATATTCTAATTGTTCAAATGAATAAAATACACAAATACCAATCAAATAAACTGAATTGTGGATGCTAATCAAATGCAGTACTTGACATTCTGAGCTTCACATTTCCTCAGACATCAGTACAAATTTCTGGACATCATGCACTTGTTTGAATTTCACAATGAGAAACAAGAACATGCTGATCACAGAGAAATGGTCATCTTTCTGTTAAACTAAATTTACCTTCTCTTCCATTTCTTTACATCACTAACAATAGGTTTTTTAGTCCAACTGTAATAATACTTCTGCTGTGAACATACACTTCCCTGTAGGAAAGTAAAAACAGGCAATTGACCCTGGGGTGACTCAGAAGAAAATAAATATACACACATATGCAACTTATACAGAAATAGGAAAGAAAACTTGTAATGATTAGCAAGGTGATTATACACATGTCAGAATATAAGTGTTATGAATGTCTATCAACATTAGATTTTCCGGTCTTCTTAATATCATTGTCACTCAGCTAATGAGAAGAATCATCAAGCTTTTCAGAGAAAAAGAAAGGAGACCAGTAACTAAGAGTTACTCTCTCAAGTAGAGTATCCTTAAAGTAGCACAGTTACAATAGGAAACATAAATCAATACACTTTATTTGCCAACAATATCCATAAGCAAAAATAATCATTTCGCAATGAGAAATTTCCAAGGTCCAATAACACACTAAAAGTATTGTCATTTGTTATAATTGGTATTAAGACTAATACAACTAACGTTCACCTACTTTTCTCAAGTAAGTATGGAAAACATTCCTGTAATTGATTTCCACATATGTTTTATAATAAAGCAGCTTATTTGATTAATGAAGTATTAGCCATCTATGTAAATAAATAGAACTGTCTAGGTCATTAGTAATGAAACTTATTTTGACCTTAAATGAAATCTTACTGTATTTAGTGTTCTCGTTAATTTATAGATTTTCTAAATATCAGTATCTTTATATATCCCTGGATTTTGATATATTCTTGGATGTAGGGAATTGCGAACAAGAGATTCCGCTCTTGGAAAAGTGAAAAAGTTTAGTAATGAGAATAAACACAGTTTGTAGAATTGCTAGGAATGCTGAAGAAAAACTGTCTTGGCTAGGCTTCCAAAAATGACTTTTTGGAATACCACAGTGGTTCAGAGCCCGAAGGGGGTCAACATCATGATCTTTGCCAAAAATTTACATGTCCCAAAAATATTCCTTCTCCTCTCATTACTCAAGTATAAACCAAAGTATTATATGAGTGTATTTGATTTTCCAAAACTAATCTGTAACTGTAGCTACCCAGGGACTGAGAATAGTAAATTGTGCATCTCCAGTTTCTATATTCCAGTAAAAAAGTATTGAAATGACTTTTGAGAAAACCAGTTCACTTTCTTTAATTATACTTGAAAATCAAAATGTTTATAGTATGGGCTAAATCAACCAAAATTTCATCCCACTGAAGGCAATTTGGTTTTACCATGGACCACCACAATTTACTATGAAAGCATTTTTTTTTACATAATTTCCAGCTGAAAGGAATGAATGAATCATGAGAAATCCATCATCATTCATTGAAAAAAAAATCCTAAAATTGCTAATACTTCTCCTATTTATTGATGGAAGGTCAAAATGGTAATTTTCATTTATCAAATGTGAAAATCATGTCCATGAGACAGAGCACTAGTCAATCTGAAATTTATTGTATTTCATACACAAGTTTAGACTATCATTTCTTGCATATCAACCCAAGCATACTGTGAGAGTTTTAAACAAGAATCTTAATAAAGCTATTATAGTTATGTTTTAAAGAAGTGGATTTGTTTAAATATATATGAAAATTTTATAAAAAAATAAAACAGCAATCGATGACACAAAAATGAATTTTGAACGTTTTATTATAATTTTAAATAATACACAGGTTGATGTTGAAGGGTGAAATGCTAATTCTCATTTGGCTTATGTCTTCCCCAACAGGGGGAAACTAGGGAAGTTTAAGGATATCTAGAAGCCCTAGATGGCACTAATAGGGATATTGTAGAAATTATATGCTTGGGTTTTACAAAGTTATTCATCTGGCAGATTGTGGCAGGGTGGGAAGTACAATCAATTGAATGTAGGTGGTTGAATAATCAAAGCCACATTTTTATTTTGATGTCAACCTAGGAAAAAACTGAAGTATGAGAAAGATACTAACTTTGAACATGGGGTATTAAATATTTCAGTTACAATAAAATGAGTTATTATTTACTGAAAGTTTTAAAGACACATTTTCATCTCATCCGGTTTTCAGAATTACACAATGAAATATACAAATTTAGTTTCTACATTTTACAGATGAGGAAACTGAAGTGTACAGAATATGTTACTTGCCAAAGGTAAACAGACAGTAACTGGTAGGGTCAATATTTGAATTCATGCAATCTGATCAGCCTTTTACTATGCTACTACTAGAAAGTCAAATAAATACATAGATGATGAGCTATATTAAACGCTATTGGCCAAATAAGTATGCATGCAGGTGACAGATGAATTAAAACTAAGATTTAAAAATAAAATAGGTATGTGAAACTTCTTTATTCGGTTTCTAGACTGCAACCACGCTGGTTCCCAATGTTGCCTTAGTAATTTTTTTAATAATCCGTAAAATCTGTACAACACAATGTTCACAACATATCCCTTTGAGAAAAGTTTAGCGAATAGCATAAAAATTGTGTGATATAAAATCCAATTTCATTGGAGTCCTTAACATTTGTTAGACCATGCCCTTAATGACATGCTTAGTACCCCCCTACCCAGGCCATCGTTCAGTAAATAAATTACAGTTTCACCCACTGAGAAGTTATTTTTACAGAGATAAAGTGTAATTCCATACGTGTAATACCTGGTCATTACCTTATGTCCTGAGATTAGTACAGTAATATTGTAATGTTGGCATGAGTGACATTTTACCAATTCCCAAATATTAGTCTGAAAACTACCTCTCACCATAAAAGCTATGAGGTAACTATGCAGGATTTTCCTGGTGATATGGCTGTGGCTCCAAGAGTCTGAGAAAATCCTAACTCAGGCTTTCCCACAATCTGATATGATCTACATTAGACAAGCTGACCACTTGCCACCCTTGAGATTCTCTCCTGGAGAGGAGCTATAAAAGACTGGAGATGCCATATTTACTGAAAATTCTGTCCTTGTCATCTTAAATCTTTTGCTGAAATGTCTATCCTATAAACCTAAGGCAGTAAGTAAAATTTCAAAAATCTTTTTCATTTTTAACTCCCCCACATTGGACTATTTATCACAAAGTAGATTTTTTAAGCACCTAATTTATTGTACAAAGGATTGAGAAAAGGTCCCTGACTGTATCTCTGGGACTAATTCTAAGCCCAGAGAAGATATCATTTCCAAAGAGATCCCAAACTCTTCCATGGGAAGGTGAGTTAGAATTACTAAAGAACACCTCCACATTCTTACCTCCAACTCAAGTAAAATAGCACATGGCTCATGCATCATAAATTCTGTCAACACTTGCTGTGTTAACTGTAGCTACCAACACCAGCTGACTATAACATAAAGCAATGGTTCTCAAACAGGCTGCACATTAAACTTTAATGTTTAAAACGTGGAAGCCCTGAAACCTTCTCTAAGGTTTAAAACGTGGAAAAGCCTTTAAAACGTGGAAGCCCTGAAACCTTCCCTAAAGCTATTCATTCAGTTCATGTGGAAGGGGACCCAGGCATTTCTGTTTTTGAAAGCTCCCCAGGTTTTCCTACTGCATTGCCAGGATTGAGAGTCACTAAGGTAAATGATCAGAGATTGCCTTCTCATTGTTGGGCCATCGTTCCAGGAACCAGGTGAATCTTATTAGGTCCATTTAATGAATTTCCCAAAGACTAAATTTACCATGGTTCACATTATTTTTTTTAAACTGTATCATGCCCTACCCAAAGCTTTTCCAAGCATCTGTCATTGATGACTATATCAATAATGCTATCAATTTTCAATGCTCTATATATCCTCCACTCACCCAACCTGCATTAAACCTCTTCTTCTAAAACCTTCTCACCATGTCCTTTGGTGAAAAATATTATCTTCAATAACGAAGAATATTTTTCCCCTATGATATCTTTTCTTTTACAGTGGATTGCTAAGGTTATAAGTCTCTCTCCTCTCTAATTCTTCCTGTAGGAGTTTCAAATTTATTGGTATTTTATTTTTGTTATATTTTATTTTTAATTGTTATATTTTATATTTAAAAGTAAATGTCTTTGCATATTGATTTTTATCTTTATAAGCTTCTGTTATCTGTTTATATTTTCAAGTGAATTTTCTATTTTTTAAACACATTAAACATTATTATTTTATATTCTGGGTTTGACTATCCCCCAAAATCAAAGTTTTTCACTGGTTTGAGTCTACTAGGGCTATATATTTTTTTTCTGACTCTTACTCATAGTGCATTGTTTTCTTCTGTGTTTTGTAAATTTTGACCCGGCACTCTTGTTTTGGAATTTCAACTGCACGAATTCTTTGAGGGCTAGTTTGAAACTGCATTCTTTTAGAGAGTCTTTATTAAATTCTTCAGAACCTAGAGGCATTTTGAACAGTTTCAAGTTAAATTCTCTACTTAAGGAGTTTCTGTTTATACATGTTTTATAATATGAGCCACAGATTTGTGGGGGCAGATTTGTAGTTACTCCTTTGCAAGAATTTCATTTTTATCCACCTAGCATGGACATGGGAAAGAAGGATGGGCAAATTTATTTTTCATTTACCCATACACAAATAAGTAAATGAAATCACTTTCTGGGGTCTTCTCTCCATAAGAGGCTCCTATATACTTTATCTCTAGCCTATCTCATCATGATTCCACAACTGCAAAATTGAAGCTTATGAACAATAGCATTAAAATCCCCATTTTTACATTGTTTTAGATCTCCGTAGTTTTCTTACTTTCCTCTCAGTCTGGTGACTTTTTTTAAGACTTATTTTCTTATAGGAGTTTAAGGTTCCCAGCAAAATTGTTCAGAAAGTACAGACATTTTCCATATACCCTCTGTCTCCAAACATGGACAGATCCCTATCAACATCCCCGAACTAGTACATTTATTATAATTGATGAGCCTATATTGACATATGATAATCACCCAAAGTCCATACTTTACATTAAGGTTTACTTTGGGTGTTATATATTCTATGGGTTTGATTAAATATATAATGACATATATCCATCATTATATTAATAGTATTATATAGAGTATTGCCCTCAAAATCCTCTGTTCTCTGCCAATCTATCCCTCCTTCCCCATGAACTCCTGGAAACCACTGATCTTTTTACTGTCTTCAAAATTTTGCCTCTTCCAGAATATCATATAGTTAAAATGGTAAAGTATGTTGCCTTTAGAGATTGACTTCTTTCACTTAATCATATGCATGTAAGTTTCCTCTGTGTGTTTTCGTGCTTGATAGCTCATTTCTTTCAGCACTGCATAACGTTCCATTGTCTAGACATACCACAATTTATTTTTCCACTCACCCACTGAAAGACATTTTGGTTGCTACCAAGTTTTGGTAATTATGAATAAAGTTGCTATAAATATCGTATTAACCTTGTTTTTTTTAGTTGTTTTCAGGGATAGAGATAGAGTGACATAAATAATTCTATACTACCAAAAATGAAAACTTATAAAATTATTCATATTTTGCTTTTCCGAGGATGTATATCCTGAAAAAAAAATTGTGGACACATTAGAGCCAGTGAAGACCTGTCATATGGTAAACAAAATATTTATTTTGTGATCTTCAAAAACAGAATTAGAATTCACAAATTAAAAAAAAAAGCTTGAGGTTCATGTACACAATGCTTATAGTATTCTGTTTTCTATGAGATGAACAGATATAAGTAATAGAGTTTAATGTCAATTCAATACTAGGACAAACATTCAAAAAATCGGTTTAAAAATGGAGGCAGTAAACCTTCCACCGAAAATGTTTTAGAAAAGCTAAATAATTACTTTGTAATTTAATATAGAACAACATAATATTTGGTATTTGACTAGATTATAAATTATCTTTCACTCTAGTATGCAAAATTTATAAATCAATGATTTTTAAGTCATGTTAACTTAATAAAAAAACTAAAAAAAATGACTACTACTTCTCTTCAGGTTCACATGACCGAAATGTTTTCCAAGTTAATTTCATCATTACAGTCTGTAAATCAGGCATTTTTTCAGTTAAATGATTGTTAAGTAGAGTGATGTTTTCTAAATGTATCTTGATTCTGTTCAATGTGAAATTACTCTAGCAGACAAAAAATAAATCGAACTTTATTTTTGTTATATATTTCCAAATTCTCATGTGTTTCAACAATTGTCAAGTTAAAGATTTCCAGGTTTCCTTTTTGGTTTTGTTTTGATTTGTTTATTTTTTACTTCTAACTTATATATCAGAAAGAGTATGGTCAACAATTTAAAATAAAGGTACTTCAGTTGCATGATGTTAATATTGAATGTTTAGAGTTTGCTTATGTGGAGAAATTAGTATTCAGGTTTAATGACAGTATTGTAACAAATTGAACCAAAAATTATATCAAATTCTAAGTATAAATAAAGGCACAGCATCAAAAACTAGCCCAAATTTGCATGTGTATCTCTTAATAACCTTGCATATGAAATTGTCATTTTCTATAGAAGCTGCATAGCATTTGTTTCTTATAAACTTTTCATTTGTTTGCTTGCCTTTATGTTGTTGTGTTTCAGGAAATCCCATTTCATGTTTCTTGTCACAATGTGTTCCTAGAAAACAAGTTATAAAATAGTAGTGTTATAATTGCTTGTTGCGTTCCTGACCAAAAATTCAGCCTTGAATAAATCTTAGCCTGAAATAAAATGGCATAAAGGCAAAAACATAAAAAATACAAATCTGTAATTATTTAAATAATAAAAAATGCTCTGATAATGTAAAATAAACATAAATGTCATGTGCTTATTGATTATGGGGGGAAATCCTATAGCAATGTTAGATATGACTATTCTACTTTAAATTTTATCTAAAACTAGTAGCTTAGCTAGAAGAGGCATCAAGCATTTACTTAGGAGAGATTTTTCTTTATGTTCTTAAAATTTAGGATATGTGGGAGATGATGATCCTGGTATCTTTAGAAAGGTTTATAAGGGTCTCTGAACCATACTCTTATTTTTTCCCCCGAAATAAATTTCTCAGTGGCAGAAACTTTAAAAAAAAATCATTATTCTGACCTTGGAAGTAGAATTTAAGTAGTATATTTACTGCTTCTGGTTTTGTTTTACCCATAGAAAAGCATTTAAAACATGAGGTGCTATATTTTACCCATCTCCAGCAAGAAGGAAACAGTTTTATTCATCATCTTCAAGATTTATTTTATCTACTGAGTTTTCACAACACTCCCTGATTCAAATGCTTAAATGCTTATTGCCCTTTTTAGCATTTAACCTTCCCACCCAAAGTCAGTTCCATGTGTCTTTGAATAAACCAAGAAGAAAGGGGAGGTTGGAATGACTTTTTATTTTTTTAAGTAATGTCCTACCGGGATGAATTGATGACTTCATCATAGTGAAAGCTAAAGGGGTGAAGACTATATCCCAATAACGGTTAATATCTACTGAAAACTGTTAGGCATCAGAAACTGTGATAGGTACCATATGCACTTTATTTCCCACCCCCATGCCAACCTTTGCAAAATGTTTTTATTATTTCTCTTTTAAAGATAAATAAATCAGGGTGCAGAGAATTTAAATAATTTTTTCAAGATCATACACAAAATGAATGAAAAACTGGACTTTGAACTGAGTTAGGCTGTCTTCTAAAATCTGCACTCTTTCCCCTCCCACACTGACTTTTTCTAGGAACCTAGAAAGTGTTAGGAAAAATTATTTGGGGCTTAATACCAAGAAAAGCATATTTGATAGGTAATTTGTTTTCATGCAATTTCACAACATCTAATAAGTGGGTATTTTATGAACATCATGTTACGCTGATTGCATGCAGTATTCAAAAATCTTTAAGATGACATTGTATGTTCGATATGCTTATAGTATAGAAACTAAGTAAAGGAGCGTAATCTATCTGTGCCAATTCCATCCTAGTTTTGATGCATTTGTCAATTATATACATCCTGATTCTGCTTTCAGAATCAGATAAAACCAATAAAATGAAGATTGTTAATCTTTTTCTTCCTGTAACATAGCAAACAACCTTGCTAAGGTGATTTCCACATTCTGTTTTCCCATTGAAGAAATTTTCAGAGAATCATTAAATAGATGAGTTTAGCTTCAGCTGAAACTATCGCAAGGACAAAAAACCAAACACCGCATGTTCTCACTCATAGGTGGGAATTGAACAATGAGAACACGTGGACACAGGAAGGGGAACATCACACACCAGGGCCTGTTGTGGGGTGGGGGAAGGGGGGAGGGATAACATTAGGAGATATACCTAATGTTAAATGACGAGTTAATGGGTGCAGCACACCAACATGGCACATGCATACATATGTAACTAACCTGCACATTGTGCACACGTACCCTAAAACTTAAAGTATAATAAAAAATAAAATAAAATAAAAATTAAAAAATGATTTGATTTATTTTGCAACTAAACCACACAGTGTGGAGGGAGTAGATTTTTGTTACATGATGCCAACCCTTCATTCACCAACCTACATGGCTTAGGCAAATTCTACTAAGAATGTCTCTTGATGGGCATAATATTGAGTCACAGACACCACTGAGATTTCCCCCCGCTGAACTATAGCCACTAGATAAACTCCCAAAGTTAACTAGTCTCAGTCTAGAGATTTTAGACTTTAGCATTGTGTACTTGGATACTTTTAAAAACATTCTGGATGTTCCAACCAGCATTTTCATTCAAGTGTCTAACCAAAAAGCAAATCCAAAAGTTATATTTGTTGAGCTCTTTAACCCTAACCAAAGCAAATATAAAACTGTTTATTGAGGCACTAACTGAATTAGGTTTTGTGCTGGGCTTTTTTTAATATGTTTGGGGTTTCTTTCATAATTCAGCCAACTAGGTTAAGAAAGAATAAAAATCGAAATATGTCTCAACCAAACAGGTACAAAAACAGCATAAAATATTTTTCTAAACCAAACTTAAGCCAAACTGGTAATTAATTGAATTCAAGTTTGTGAGAGATAGGTGTGAGGAGAAGTATTGCATTGGCTTCACATATGGCATTGCAGTGACTTGAAGATACTCTTGTGATACTAAACATCAATAATGAATTTCAGCAACTCATACCTCAGGCACGGTTATGTCTGACTATCTCTTGATATTTTGCTAAAATGCTTTTCACTTGAATTTTTTTCACAGTTCAGAAAACCAAAATGAATTCTCTCTTCTCTCTCTCTCTCCCTCTCTCTTCTCTCTGTTCCTCTCTATCTCTCTCTCTCTCTCTCACACACACACACATGCACACACACGTGCACACATGATAGCTCCAAACGCATTGTTTAAGAAAAAACAAAACTTAAAAGTTACTGTGAGTTCTACTAGGTATGCATTTCTCACTGTCACTTTCAAGATCTTCTATAATATAGCTCTCTTGGTCTATTTTGTGTTGCTATAACAGAATATCTAAGACTGGGTAATTTATAAATAAAAGAGGTTTATTTGATTCATGATTCTGGTGGCTGGAAAGTCAAAGATTGGGCAGCTGCAACTGATGAGGGCTTCATGCTGCTTCCATTCTTGGCAAATGTAGAAGTCTGGGGTGGTGTGTGCAAAAAGATCACGTGGTGAAAGAGGTAGTAAGAAAGAGAAACCAAAGAAGCCAGACTCTTTTTAACAACTCTCTTGCTCTTACAGCAACAAATCCGTTTCCACAAGAGTGGGAACCCACTCACGCCTGAGGAAGGGCTTTAATCTATTCATAAGAGATCCAGACCTGTGACCTAAACATGTCATACTAGGCCTCACCCCCCAATACTGCCACAATGGGGATCAAATTTTAACACGAGTTTTGTTGAGGGCAAACCATATCTAAACCACAGAAATGGTCTTAATCTACCTTTACAACATTGCAACATAAATTTCTCCTCTAGAAATCCTGTTGCCACTAAATTGAAATAATTTACCGTAACCAGTTGTAACCAATTGTAACCAATTGAAATAATTTACTGTAATTGGCTAAAAGTAACCAATAACCTTCTATTCCTGTGGCTTGGTTAATACTGTTCTTATATTGGGAAATTCAGTTGTTAAGGCTTTGTTAAGCCAAATGTGGTCCATGGACTAAGGGCTTTGGCATCACCTGAAGGCTGATTGGAAACTTATCTCATGCCCACTCCAGATCGATTGAATCAAAATATTCATGTTAATAAGATCTTAGGTATGGCATATGTACATTAAGGTTTGAGCCATTTCAAATAATACTTTTTCTGTGACATCTGACTGATGTAATAGTTTCCTCTTTTGATCTTCATATTCAGAAATTAAGTCATCATTTTTAAGTCTATAAGTATTTATTAAGCTGCTACTATGTTTCAGGCAAAACTGAGGAGAGCTAGTGTTTAAACTGAGACTGGTTAACTTTTGAGAGCTTATCTGGTGGCTGTAGATCAGCAAGGAAATTCCAGTGGTGTCTGGGACTCAATATGTGTATTTCCATCAGGAAACATTCTCAGTAGAATTTTCCTAAGCCATGTAGGTTGGTGAATAAAGGGAACTTGGGGAGTTGACCTAACATAACAACAATCCACACCTTTCACCTTGTGTTATTTGCAAATCAAATTTTAAAAGATGAAAAGCTCTCATTTATAGATGAGGAGTTGTAAAAATGCAAATAGTTTGAACTATCTGAAGGGTGAATTATAGATGGGAAAACAGTAGAAAGTGGAAAAGGTAATCAGAGGCCTAATTATTCAACTGAAAAAATGATGATATATAATATATCCAAAAGTGTTAGATGCAAGGCAATAATTGCCTTTTATGGTAGATTATTTTTCCAGAGATTCAAAAAGGAATTGTGCAGTGCAACTAAAGTTAATATTAAGAAGACTAGATAGGAGGTTGCTATAAAAATTCGAATTAAGAAGATTAGAAATTTGAACTAGAGAGTAATGGTAGACATCTATTCATTCATTCAACAGGTATTTATTGAGATTCTTTGAAATGCAGTGAATTGCTACCAAGACAATCTAGATAGTAAAACTTGTTTCACAACTATTTCACTTAAAGTTACAAGTTTACTAGCTACATCACAGGTCTTCTACATTTTTATAGGAAATAGTTTTATCAAATTCTTTGTCATGTGTGGATCACCATATCTTCCAGACCCTTGTAATTGTTTGTCACCCACTGCCAGAATTCAAAGCCAATACCACATATGGCACATGTTTTATTAAAGCAACTGTCAGTTCTGGTGCCTATTTTTCTACAGAGGCCATCCATTCAGCTTATCAAGGTTCCCAACCCTGGGATTGCTCAGATTTCTCTCTGTTCCACAAACGCAGTTGCTGAGAGTTAGCCTGCCTTTGCAAGAGCTCTTCCAAGCAATGGCAAGAGGATAGTTTCTGAGTAATTCTCCCTTTATTCCATAAAGCATCCAGCATTATAAGTAGAAGATACTCAATATATTTTTGTTGAAGCAAGCCAACATACTCGTTATTGCATATTTCATTATTATACTCTTAGCTCCAAACAGGATACGTTTAACAGCTTTGTGTGTGTGTGCATATGTGTGCACATGTGTATGTGTGTGTGGGTTTATGTGGGGGTGTGATTATACCACTCTTCATTTGCTATTTTACTTTCACTATTTTAAAAACCGAACTTGAATTTCCAGTTCTGGTTCAGCATGAAGTTGACAGTTCATCCTAAGAATAAGTAAAAAGCTGAACAAACTGAAAAATTAACAACTGTTTTTATATCTGCAAGATAACTGAGGTTACAGGGCAAACCACTACCCCCAAATTGGAGTGACCTCTCATGTTCTGCATAATAAATATTACATACACACACACACATATACATGTAATACATAAAATATATAAATACAATGAACATACTAAGAAAGGAGAGAGAGTAGAATCTCATAAAATCCCCAATTAAATCCACAAAAAGCAAAAAAGTGTGAAAGAAAAAAATGGGAATGAAGACAAGGGCAATAAATAGAAAACCAAAACAAATATGGTAGATACTAATCCAACTATATCAATAATCACTGTAAATATCAATGGTCTATATACAAATTAAAAGACAAACATTGTCAGATTCTATCTAAAAGCAAGACCCAACTCTATGTAGTCTACAAGAAAGCTATTTAAATATAAAGACATATGTAGAAAAAAAGTAAATAAATGAAGAAAGCTATACCATGTAAACACTAATCAAAAGAAAGTGGGAATAGGTATTTATTTTCAGAGTTAGACATCAGATCAACAAAAATTATTAAGAATGCAGAGGGATATTACATGATGATAAAAGGGTTAAACCTCCAAAAAGACATAACAATTCTCAACCTGCATGTACCTACTAATAGAATGTCAAAATATGTGAGGCAAAAACTGGAAGAATTGCAAGAAGAAAGTGATAAAGCCACTATTACAGTTAGAGACTTCATTATCCCTCTGTCAGAAATGAACAAATCTAGTAGACAGAAAATTGGTAAGGACAAAATCGAACTCAACAACACATCAATAACTGGATATAATGGATGTATATAAACTACTCCATCCAACAAAGTATATAAACTACTTCATCCAACAAAAGCAGAATACACATTCTTTTCAAGCTCGCACGGAACATTCACAAGATAGACTACATTATGGGCAATAAAACATACGTACCTTAACAAACTTCAAAGAATAGAAATCATACAATATCTGCTCTCAGACAGCAATAGAGTTAAATTAGAAATTAATAACAGAATATCTGGAAAATATTAAACATAATTGGAGATATCAAACACGTTTTTAAAAAATATGAGTCAAAGAACTCTTAAAAACAATTTTAAAAATATATTTTAAACTAAATGAAAATAAAAACACAATTCATCAACATTTATGAAATGCAATTACAGCAGTGCTTACTCTTACCATATAACCCAGCAATGGGGCCCCTTGGTGTTTACCCAAAGATGTTGAAAACTTAGGTCCACACAAAAAATCCTTCACATGGATGCTTATAGCAGCTTTATTCTTACTTGCCAAAAATTTGAAGCAACTAAGATGTCCATTGATAGCTGAATGGATAAACTAGTATATCCAGATAATAGCATATTATTCAACACTAAACAGAAATGACCTATCAAGCCATAAAAATGGAGGCAATATAAACACGTTACTAAGTGAAAGAAAGGCAATATACTATATGATTCTAACAATATGGCATTCTGCAAGAGGCAAAACTATGGAGACAGTAAAAATGTTAGTGGTTGCCAGGAATTAGTGGAGGGGAGGAAAAAATTAACAGATGAAGCACAGAGTATTTTTAGGGAAGTGAAACTATTCTGTATGATAATATAATGATGGATACATGTCGTTATACATTTATCCAAACCCAGAGAATGTATGAAACCAAGAGTATATCCTCGTGTAAACTATGGACTTTGGGTGATAATGATGTAACAATGTAGGTTCATGAATTGTAACAAATGTACCACTCTAGTGGAGGATGTTGATACTGGGGGAGGTCATGTATTGTGGGAGCAGAATATATGCTTAATCTCTGTATCTTCTGCTCGGTTTTTGCTATGAACCTAAAACTGCTCTAAAAAGGAAAGTCTATTTAGAAAAAAATGAACTCAAGTGGTATTTACCATTGGATATTTAAAATAAATGGACAGTTGTTTGTTATAATGGTAAGTTATTATTTTCATGATGAACCTTCATACAGAAGCAAGTTCAAATATAATACATTCACTAGAGAATTATCTATACTTTTCACCAACTTTTATTATTCTGATACAATAATAACAACTATTATTTAACAAGTGCCTATATGTGCTGGTACATTTATACATTTAACTTAAAATTATTTTGTTATCTTAATAACTTCTATGAGGTGGTCATTAATATTATGCAGATGTTGACGATTAGAAAACTAAGAGATAAGACAAAAAAAAAAGTTGTCCACAGTCATATATTTTACAATTAGTAGAAACAATTTGATAACAGAAAGTTGATTCCTGAGCCTACTTATTCTTAAACACTATATAATTGATACGCTTTGGCTGTGTCCCCACCGAAATCTCATCTTGAGTTGTAACTCCCACAATTCCCATGTGTCATGGGAGGAACCTGGTGGGAGGTAATTGAATCATGGGGGTGGGGCTTTCCCGTGCAGTTCTCATGATAGTGAATAAGTCTCAGGAGATCGAATGGTTTTAAAAATAGGAGTTTCCCTGCACAAGCTTTCTCTTTTTGCCTGCTGCCATCCATGTAACGTGTGACTTGTTCCTCCTTGCCTTCTGTCATGATTGTGAGGTGTACCTAGCCATGTGTAAGTCCATTAAACCTCTTTTTCTTCCCAGTCTTGCTTATATCTTTATCAGCGGCATGTAAATGGACTAATACGATAATACTACCTCTATTTTATATTTTTTAATTTATATTTTTATAATTTTATTTATTTAAATTTGTGTTTTATTTCAATAGGTTTTTGGGGAACCAGTAGTATTTTGTTACAAGAATAAGTTATTTAGTAGTTATTTCTGAGATTCTGGTGCACCCATCAACCAAGCAGTGTACACTATACCCAAATTATGGTCTTTTATCCCTCACCCTCTCCCACTCTTTCCCCTGAGTCCCCAAAGTCCATTGTATCATTCTTATGCCTTTACATCCTCATACCTTAGCTCCCAATTATGAATGAGAACATATGATATTTGGTTTCCATTCCTGAGTTACTTCACTTAGAATAACAATCTCCAATCTCATCCAAGTTGCTGTGAATGTTTTTATTTAATTTCTTTTTATGGCTGAGTAGTATTCCATGGGGTATGTATACACACACACACACACACACACACACACGTATATAAGTATATATGTATATGTAGATATATACATATGTATTTATATAGGTATATATGCATGTGTATATATACTTTTTTGAATATATATATATATATATATATATACTTTTTTGAATAATGAATTTTTTCCTTTGGGTAGTGGGATTTCCTAGTAGTGGGATTTCTTCATCAAATGGTAGATCTATTTTTAGTTCTTTAAGGAATCTCCACAGTTTTCCATAGTGATTGTACTAGCTAACATTCCCACCAACAGTATAAAAGGGTTCCCTTTCACCACATCCTCACCAACATCTATTATTTTCTGATTTTTTTTTTATTATGGTCATTCTTGCAAGAGTGAGGTGGTATCACATTGTAGTTTTATTTGCATTTCCTTGATAATTAGTGATGTTGAGCATTTTCTCATATATTTGTTGGGCATTTGTGTATCTGCTTTTGAGAATTTTCTATTCATGTTCTTAGCCCACTTTTTGATGGAATTGTTTGCTTTTTTCTTGCTGATTTGTTTGAGTTGTTTAAAACCATAGCCAACATTATACTGAATGGGGAAAAGTTGAAAGCATTTCCCTGAGAACTGAAACAAGGCAAGGATGCCCACTTTCACCACTTTGATTCAACATGGTACTGGAAGTCCTAGCCAGAGCAATTAAACAAAAGAAAGAAATCAAGGGGATGCAAATTGGTAAAGAGGATGTCAAACTGTCACTGGTTACTGATGATATGATCATATGCCTAGAAAACCCTAATTACTCAATCAAAAAGCTCCTAGAACTGATATTTGAATTCAGCAAAGTTTCAGGATACAAAATTAATGTACAGAAATCAATAGTTCTGCCACACACCAACAATGACCAAACTGAGAAACAAATCAAGAATTCAATCCCTTTTACAAAGCTGAAAAAAAAAATAAAAAAATTAAACTTAGGAACACACTTAACCAAGGAAGTGAGACATCTACAAAGAAAACTACAAAACACTGCTGAATGAAATCATAGACAACACAGACAAATGGAAACAGATCCCATGCTCATAGATGGGTAGAATAAGTATTATGAAAATGACCAAATTGCCAAAAGTGATCTATAAATCAATGCAATTCCCATCAAAATACCAGCATCATTCTTCACAGAACTAGAAAAAACAATCCTAAAATTCATATGGAACCAAAAAAAGAACTCACATAGCCAAAGCAGAACTAAGAAAAAAAAAAACTGGAGACTTCACATTACCCAACATCAAACTATACTATAAGGCCATAGTTATCAAAACAGCATGGTACTGGTATAAAAATAGGCACATAGACCAATGGAACAGAACTCCAAAATAAAGCCAAATACTTAAAGCCAACTGATCTTTAACAAAGTGAACAAAAACATAAAGTAGGGAAAAAAGACACCCTATTCAACAAATAGTGCTAGGCTAATGGCAAGCCACCTGTAGAAGAATGAAACTGGATCCCCATCCCTAACCTTATACAAAAATCAACTCAAGATATATCAAAGACCTATCTCTAAGACATGAAGTGATAAAAATTCTAAATGATATCTTTGGAAAAACCTTTACAGACATTGGCTTAGGCAAAGACTTCATGACCAAGAACCCAAAAGCAAATGCAGCAAAAACAAAGATAAATACATGAAACTTAATTAAACTAAAAAGCTTCTACACAACAAAAGAAATAATTAACAGAGTTAACAGACAACCCACACTGTGGGAGAAAATCTTCACAATATTCTCTCTTTAAAACGTGAAAGCTTATCAAATGCTAAAATCAAGGCATAGAATTTGCACTGAACAAGAATGTACACTCTGAGTTGAGATTTCTCATTATTAGTACTATTGATATTTTAGACTAAACCTTATTGTAGGGGAGCTGTTCTGTGCATTTTAAGGTGCTTAGTGCATTTTAAGGCTTTTACCCAGTAGATTCCAGTAACACCCCCAACCTATGACAGTCAAAAATGTCTCCAGATATTTCCAAGTATGTCCTGGGAGGAAAAAAATCACTCTCTGTTAAGAACCTGTCATATTTTTTCCCAATTTAAATGAGAATGTATTGAGATTGTCATTAGTCTTTGATGCAGCTTCATATTAGGTATTGTTAGTTGATTTTGCTTCATCAAGATATAGCTCAAATTGAGAACCTTTTATTCTGGAAACTCCCTATCTTGTTTTCACATCAGGATGTCTTTTTAGGGGTGAAAGCTATTTTTAGAAGTTCTTTTCTGTCAGTCCCTTAATTCAATCTTTCATGATATCCATCAACTGACAAAAAATAAAAGACCACAATGAGCCATAATAATCCATGGAAAAAGATGTTTCAAGAAACCCCCCCTTCTCCTGAAGCTATTGCAAATGAGCCATTATGTGCAAGTTCTTAAGGAGTAGCTCTCAGGTAATAATGGTTTTTTTAAGTGAATTTCTGGTCTTACACATGAGAATGTAAGTAAATGTAATTGCTCTTCATCAGCTTATCAGATAGCTAGCTTTATACAGGATATGAACTATGTTAAGAAAGTTCCAAAACAATGTAAGATATTGTTAGTAACTTTTGTTTCCCTCAAATCACCATGATTTGAGAACCATGATGGCTGTGGCTACATTAGTGTACACTTGCAGCCATTTTCATTCTTTCTCTTGTAAGAATGTATCACATTATTATCACAATCAACTAACACTATTATAATCAACCACATCATCATCTGTGCACATATGGTCACATGAGGATGAGTGACAGGGGTAAGTGCAGATTCCATGGAGAATGAGACAATTTTCTCTAATAATTATTCTCATTCACAGGCCCTTTTATAAACTCCTAGGTTTGTGAACCAAAGCTTTGTGTTCAGCAAACTGTGGGAGGAAATGCTTATTAAATAGATCATGGGTAATTTTCCATTGGACATCTGAGTCACCTACCAAGATGTCATAAACATTAGACTGTGGAAAGCAGTTTCATGTGTTAGAAGTAAGATGTGACACTTTATATTCTAATCAGAATAAAGAAGCTCAAAGTTCCAAGTGGACATTTTACAGTATAGGTAGAAAAGTCCTGTACAAAGTATCCTTGTTTCCTAACAGTTTACTGTGCAGAGAACAGTAAGCTTTCTTTAAAAAGTCAACTTTTTAGGTATTTTTTTAGTTAACTTTTTCATAGTGTTCTTCTTCCTCTTATGTTCTTATGATTATTTCATAAACAGAAATAAATTAGTTCAATTGCTGTTTTGATTTTGACTAGTTTCAAATGAATATGTAAATTACCATTTTTATTATTTCTTCATACTTGAATTTGTCAAATACCTTGATATTTGGTTTTAATACCTTTATTAAGGTTAATAACAGTTTTCTTAATACATTTATTGTAGAAAATTAAATTTCAGTCATGGTGTCTGAACAATCAAAATATATTTTCATAGATAAAGTATGAGTCCTTCTATATTAGTTGTCTATTGCTATATAATACAACACCTCAAATTTCAGTGGCTTGTAATAACTATTTATATGGCTCATGAATCGGCAGGTTAATTTGACAGCTCTACTAATCTTAGTTTGGCTCACTCATGCATCTGCAGTCAGCTCATGGGTCAACTTGGAATTGGCTGGTCTAGCAAGGTCTAGGCTAAGGCAATACAGCTCTACTTCACATAGCCTCTTACTCTCTAGCATGCCAACGCAGCTTATTCACATTGCATTGGGTAGTGTTCCAAGATAGTGAACAGAAATGTTCAAGGCTCTTGAGGGCTAGGCTTGGAAATGGCATGTAACATCTGCTGCATTTTATTGGCCAAACCAAGTCCCAAGACCAGTCCAGATATAGGAAGAGGGGAAAGAGACTCCATCTCTTGGTGAGAGAAGCAACAAAGTCAGCAAAAAGGCATATATAGGAAGAAATGACTGTGGCCCTTTCTGCAATCAACCACACCTCTGTTAGTGACAACTTTGACATTTTGAATGTAAGCAAAATGAGCCTGTGTATTTACAACTATGTTGTCAACATGTGGTAGGTGTAGATTGATCCTGTTTAGCAATTAGATAACCCACTGTGAAGTTGATAAGACTGACAAGATTACAGATATAATATGGGAGATTGCCCTTTTTGTGGAAAGGGTTGAAAATTTCATGATTTATGTGAAAATCCTTTCTGTACTAATAAACATGACAGGAGAGACACAGTAACAGAGAAAAATTTGAGCAATGTCTTTCAAATTTAGGCCTATTTTGATGGAGTTCATGTGATGTAGTACCCTATGGATTATTATATTTTTTAAGTCAGTGGGGTCTCAGTACATAGACGGTATTTGAAGGAGATGAAAACGAGGCAGAATGTTCTGTTCTTTAATGTAGGAAAAATTGTAATGTGCACACCTTCCATTTCAATAGAAAAGCCCCATGCAAATGTAGTATTCCAAGCAGAACTAAGAGTCACTACAATACTGCCTAGTAATATTACTTCTAAAAAGCTATCATAATGCATAGCTGGATTTCAGCAGTCTTATTGCTCATGAATGTTCAAATTGCTGTGAAAACATATTTAGAATAATTACCTGTTTTAAGCTACAACAAAGATATTTTCTTTTTTCCTAGTTAACTATGGAAATATGTACAAGTGGAAATATCAAAATTTAGAAAGTAGAATTAAAACATCACCTGTGTTATGAAAGTGAATGGTAGACTAGGAAGTGAAACAGCAATTATAGACAACTATACACTAAAGGTATACACATTTTTTTGGACCCAATCAAATGTGGTAGATTCCTTCAATCCTTTGGAAGAACAACTACTTGCATTGGTAGATAACTGCGACCACATATGAGGAATGCTGTGAACTAAGGTCAGTAATTAAAAAGAAAAAAATTCACGTGTATATCACTTTGCAAAGTGTGTTCATATAATTTTTATCATGTTATTCTCATCAAACCTGTAAGGAATACAGAGCATTACAATTGCTTCATTTTATATGAAAACACTGAAGCTCAGAGAGATAGATGACTTATCAAATGTCATACTGTTCATATATGGAAGACCATGGGAAATATGTGGGTTTTCTTATTACACATCTAGGACTTTTCTCCATACATTATAACTTTTTCATCACATAACTCCAAACACCAACAGCAATGGAGATGTACCTGTGGTCCTTATTTAAATGAAACTAGATTCCAAGTGTAGCAAATTGTAAGATGGTTTAGAAGTCTAAAGGACCTCCTAGGGGAAACTCATGCTGGGAGACAGAGGCAGGAATGCTAAAGTATATTCAACAAGAAAATTTTACTTATTAAATACCAATAATAATTTTGAATGTGGTGGCCATCACTTAAAGCCATCTTAAGGTTAGCCTTGTGTATGCATGGATTCATTCCTCGTCCTGGGGAGAGAATGAGAGGGCTGTGGTTAAGAAAATTTAAAAGAACAATTTTTTTTTTTGAGACAGAGTTTCACTCTTGTTGCCCAGGCTGGAGTGCAATGCCACTATCTTGGCTCACTGCAACCTCTGCCTCCCAAGTTCAAGTGATTCTCCTGCCTCAGCCTCCCGAGTAGCTGGGATCACAGGTGCCTGCCCTCAAGCCCAGCTAATTTTTGTGTTTTTAGTAGAGACAGGGTTTTGCCATGTTGGCCAGCCTGGTCTTGAACTCCTGATATCAGGTGATCCACCTGCTTCGGCCTCCCAAAGTGCTGGGATTACAGGTGTGAGCCACAATATTTCAATACATTCTGTAAATTTTGCACAGTAACAACACAACGTTGCTATAAGATCCCTTTTTCTGAAAGTAAACTAAAGGAGGGATAGGTATTCTTCCTCTCCCCACAGTACCAAAGATCAACAGCTTTATACTAGTGTTGATTCTCACTTAATGAATGTATTAGTTCATTCTCACACTACTATAAAGAACTACCTGAGGTTGGGTAACTTATAAAGGAAAGAGGTTTAATTGACTCATAGCTCTGCAGACTCTACAGGAGGCATGGCAGAGGAGGCCTCAGAAAACTTACAATCATGGCAGAAGGTGAAGGGGAAGCCAACATATCTTACATGACAGGAGCAGGAGGAAGAGGGTGAAGAGGGAAGTGCTACACACTTTTAAACAAGCATATCTTGTGAGAACTCACCTATTATCATGAGAACAGCAAGGAGGATATCCGGCCCCATGATCCAATCACCTCCCACCACATCCCTCCCCCAAAATTAGGGATACAATTCAACATGAGATTTGGGTGGGACACAGACCCAAACCATATCAGTGAGTGACTGCAGTGACTTTTGGCTCTATATTGGTGACTGGTAGGAGACTGATTTCCTGCTGTGTGGTGGCAATGTCTAGTGGAAGACCACAGTATGAGCAAAGCAATAGGCTGAGAAAGTGTCTTCATGAGTACAATGTGACCAAAACTTATACTTTGTCTGAGATATTTGTAATAAATGTAACTATTTCTACTTCCTAAAATAAAACACAACTTGGCTCTTTGGTTGCTTTCACCATATAAGTTACTCTATCCTATTCAAAGATACTCAGTACAGTCAAAGGGTTTTCCAGAACAATTCAAGTCCCTCTCCCCTCCAAAGTTCAGGAACTGTGAAGGAAAACAGTATTGCAAGACTTTTCAACCATGTACATTCACCCCTTGCTAACATCTTTCCCTTTAGGATTTTGTGAATTTCAAAATCAGGGGAGAGATATGGAATTCATCGATGGCCTCCTGGCAAGGAACTTTCTTTCCCTTGGCCCATGAACTGCACTGACTCTCTGTACTTTATTGTCTGGTATATAACTTGGTTCACCTGATGTTCTGTATATATGCTGCCACTTGTTTTCATAACCATGGATCTTTCCATTCTGCGTAGTTGGAGCTACCCTCACTCTATGACCTGCTAGCATAAAGTCAAAATTTCTTATTGATTGGACTTCTTTTTTTTGTTTTTTGGTTTTTTTTGAGATAGAGTCTCACTCTGTCACCCAGGCTGGATGCAATGGCATGATCATGGCTCACTGCAACCTCCCCCAGGGTTCTAGTGATTCTCCTACCTCAGCCTCCTGAGTAGCTGGGATTACAGGTGCCCACCACCACCCCCAGGTAATTTTTTTGTATTTTTAGTAGAGACGGAATTTTGCCATGTTGGCCAGGCTGGTCTTGAACTCCTAACCTCAGGTGATCCGCCTGCCTTGGCCTCCCAAAGTGCTAGGATTACAGGCGTGAGCCACCGTGTACAGCCTAACTAGACTTCTTATACTTCCTAAACATCAAGACAACACAGGGGTTTGGACTGTCTTCACTACACCATGATAAGGAGTTTAAGACACTGTGTGAGTTTGCCCAGAGGCACCTACGTAGACGCACCCACAGAAGTTGATCCCATATTGCTTCCATGCCATAGGAGACACAGAGCCATGACAAATACAACATTTCTCTGGAAGGTTTGTAGTCTCCCGAGGACACAACTACAGAAATGAGGCACTAAACATAACCTGAGTGTTTCCACATTTTTATATTCACTTCATGAGCCTTAAAAACTCAGGTTTTGCCAAAGCAGTGACATCTTTTTCTAGACATTATCTTCCTCTCCCCTTGAAGTCCTAAATGCTTCTGCTTAAACAGATGAAATGTATAAAGTAGCTAGGAAATGTTAGTATATTATTTGAAATAAAACTGAATTGGTTTCTTCTTTTAAAAATAGATTATTCACATGATTATCAAATGTAATTTATACCTGAAGATTCATTTGGAAAGGTTGCCATAATTGTTCATTAAAAAGTTGGATACCTGAGCCAATACAATTTGAGTCATTATTGCAAATGTGATGTCAGCTGTGCCTACAAGCAGATGAAATCTAAGAAACTAGCTTGTAAAACTTTGTTGCACTGGGGTGGACACATGACCCAAAAAGCTTATTTAGCCCAGTGATTTTCAGACTGCACCCCACACTGAGATCCAAATCTGTTTCTAGGAAACCCACTTGACAATAGGAGCATTTGTATTGGTTTACATAGTAGCATTTCAATTAAAATTTAATACAAAGGAAACATTAATTCCTACAAAAATATATAGATGATACAGTGAGAAAGAGATAAAGAAGTAGGTAGATAAATGAAAATACCCGTTTTAACCCATAAATTAAGTGCTTTCCTGACACGCAAATTCATACTAGTTTATGGCAATATGCTGCTCATGGTGGAAAAAGAGGACTAACTTGATTTTCTTTTGTAGAACAATTACTGTTCTAAGCACAGTGCATGTTACTTTTACCATTTATTTCTCACAGGAATCATTTGCAATGGTATTACGATCCCCATTTTACAAACGGAAACAGGCTCAGCAAGGTTAAGATGCTAGCTCAGAGTCAGAGAGCTTGAAAGACAGAAGTAGTTCTCAAATTAACTCATGTGTGTCTGAACTAAAAGTCCATACTTTCCCTCTACACCTATTATCACCATGTTGCTTGTAACATGGTACTGAGTGCTGTGTAGTACAGACACATTCACATTAGGTATAACACATAGAAAAATATGTAGATTCCACTTACTGCTACAATATCTGTGGTTCAAGAAAAGGGAATCTGTAATTTAAACTGGGAAATAAAAATCACCAATTTTTTTGTACTACAAAATTGTAATATGTATAGCTCTACTTTAAAAGTCTGTCTAATTCCTTAGCGTTGAATAAAATTCTGTTAATTATAGCTGTTTTATGAAAAGATATAATCTTATACCTACTCTGCAAATATTCCGCAATATGCATATTGGGGAAATAAAATGAATGTTGAAATGGAATGTTGAAAATTAATATTCATTATTTTATTCCCCAAATATGCATAATTTGAGACAATGTATTGCCTAGTATTACATCATGTAACTTTTTAAAAACAAAGACCTGATCTGTATTTTCTTATTTTCTCATATCATCCAATGTTTTTGTATATTCAATATTCTTATATTATTCAATATTATTCAATATTCTTACAAATTTACTCTCTAAAATAATGCTACATTAATGTAAGTCAATTACATTTATTTCATTATACGATCAATTTCATTTCACAAGACATTGTGGCTGAAGAGTTAGCCAAAATTTATTAATGAAATAGAAAATCAAATAAAAAGCTGACTATGAACTATCAACAAGGAATCATAAAGAGACATCCAAGATGAAAACAGTAAATAAGAAATTAGTCACGAGAGGGGCCGCTGCATTGTAATTAAGAATTGAAAGCACAGGATTTGACGGCAAGTCTAAGTCCCAGATGTACCATTTACCAACAAGCTTATCAAGTAATTTAATTTCTGGAATTCTCCATTTTCATATCTTTAAAACAAGGATAATATCGTTTATTTCCTATAGTTATTATCAGTATTAAATAAAATTGCATATGAAAACACATTTAAGATATATAGTTGACCGTTAAGGAATGCAGAGGTTAGGGATGCTGAATTCCCATGCAGAGGATATGGAAGGAGAAGCAGGACAGGAAGGCACATTTGATGTAATTTTCATTACAAAACATACACGCATAAGTGGACCCATGCAATTCAAACCCATATTGTTTAAGGGTCAACTGAAGAATGTGTCTTAATCCCTTTTCTGATGCTTATAAAAATACCTAAAACTGGGTAATTTATAAAGAAAAAAAATATTTCTTACAGCTACAGAGGCTAAGAAGACCAAACCTGAAGGGGCATATCTGGTGACAGCCTTCATTCTTTTGGGTATTCTGAAGTATCTGGGGCACTGGGTATCACATGGCAATGGGGTTGAGTGTGCTAATATGCTATGCTCAGGTCTCTCTCTTCTTATAAAGTCACCAGTTCCTCTCCTATGATAACCCATCTATCCATTAACCCTTTAAACCATTAATCCATTAATGGATTAGTTCATTCATGAGTGCAGAGCCCTCGTGATCCAGTCACCTGTTAAAGATCCCACCTATCCATAGTACCATATTGGGAATTATGTCTGAAAATGAGTTTTGGAGGAGACATTCAACCTATACGGAATACTATATTCAAAGTTATAATTTTTAAAAGTCATTTTTCTATTTCAGATTAAACTGGTTTAACCAGATTGCATAGGTGGCCAGACCAAATACTCACAGTCATTGTAATGAGAGGCATTGTAATGTATTAGCTAGACTATGTTTGTGCCAAAAAAGTAGGTGAGAGGTAAGGAGGAGCGAGCCGGGGTGAGCACTCCAATTATACACCTTTCCTTAACCATAGGCCCAGAGATTTTCCAAGAACTACTCCTTGTTTTTCAGTCAGCACACTTGAAACTCTCCAAATTTATATGTCATCTTTTATATGTTTTATATTGGGATTTCCTCCTACTAATGGAATTTGCTAATCCATTATAAATCCCTTTCTTAGGATTTTTTTTTTTTTCTAGACATTATTTTAGGTGATAAGATAGGACATTGAAAAAAACTAGAAATTTGTCACGAAAATTATGCTCAATACATAACAAGCAGTAGAAACAAATAAAGAAACAAGCAGATATCAATGAAAATAAGACAAGGTGGCATGACAGCAATTACGACTGGCAGTTTAAGAGTAGTTAGTAGCTAGTGTTTAGAAATCTGCCTCAAAGAGAGCCCCAATTTCCATGTGGTAACCTGACCATATTGAGGAACTGATTTCAGTCCTCTGATTCTCAGTTTCCCTACATATAAATTAGAAACAAGAATGTTAACTATTTCAAAGGGCTATTGAGACTATTACATGCAATGTTATATACAACATATTTAGAACAGAGCTTGAAACATACTTTAGATTAAGTAGTCAGTGCAGACTTTTCCAACAAAGTAATAGGGTAAGACTTGAATAAGAAAGAGTAGATGGTTTTTAAAAGGTTTGAGCAGAACATTTAGGGCAGAAGAGATAGCTCATAAAAAGGCTCTTATTTAGAAACGAAGTTTGAGTTTTTAGGAAAAAAAAGGAAGGCCATTTGTATCTGAAGCATGGTGATCAAGTGTTTGAGTGGGAGCGTGCTACACCTTGTGAGCTCTTGATGGAGCTTGGATTCATTCTGGGTTTCATGGGTTGTCTTCAGAGGAATTTAATTGAAAAGTGAAATGATGTGCTGGGCATAAGAGGATGTCGTAGTACTTAGTCGTCATGATAATGGCTTGGAGCAGAATCACAGCTGTGTGATGGAGGAAATTAGGTAGATTCCAGAGCAGAAAGAAAAGGTGCCAAAATGGAGAAGAAGGAGTTGTGAGTGAAGAAAGAAGAACACTGTAAAACACGGTGTCCCCATATACATAAGAAGAATGTATTTCAAGAAGTAGAAAAAATTATACTCTGTCAAACGTTGCTGAGAAATTGGATAAAATGAAGACAGCCAAGTGACAGTTCATTACTTGATGATGGTCACTGAAAACCTTGAGCAAAATAGTTTTAGAGAAATTCTGTAGATAAAAGACTGGGTAGGGCAAGGAGACAGAATGGTAGACTATGAAGTGAAACAGCAATTATAGACAACTATTCTGAGAAGTTATACTCTGAAAAATGGACTAAGTGGAGAAGACTGTAGGATCAAAGAGATTTTGGTACTTTGTTTTGTTTTGGTTTGGTTTGATTTTGGTTGTGCTGATTGTTATTGTTTTAAATATGGAAAATATTATTAGAGCATCAGCCTTTATTTTCTAAAATTATTTGTAATTTTTGGTCAGCAAAGACACATAACAACACCTTTCACCTATCCACACACTTCTTTCTATTTTCCAGGTTGTTAATGAGTTTGAGCCTTTTAAATACTTAAATGTTTTCTATAATTTCCAGAAGTTGAGGCCGGGAAGAGGAAGCAAGCATGTGTGTTCACTATTTCACTATCTTGACTTACTCTTGTATTTGTAATTATAAAAATATTAGAATTAAGATGTCAGTGGTGCCTGGAGCCCACCTCATTTCAATGTGTTTAATTAGAGAAAATAAAGGCCAAATCAAAAGATTATAAAAGTGACATTGTGCCTGTCACTTTCCTTTGTGTTTATTTCAACTATTTAGCGATTTCAATGTTGTTTTCACTGTTGATCTCCATTAAGTGATCACTTATATGTCCAAATATGCATATACCCAAATAATTCAGTAATGTGGATCATACTGAGGTTTGAATTAAACATGTCCCTTCAATATATCTACTTTCCAGTTTTCCAGTGCTCAGGAACTTACAGCTCCATTGTATACTTCGCACCTGATATGGCATTTCAATAGTGCATAGCATTTCTAAAGTGACACACTGAGAAGATAACAACATCATCTAAGAAATATTCTTTTAAAAAATGTTTTATTTTCTTGAGGAAATAATCATAAAAATCCGAATTGAGATTCATAAAGCAGAACAACTGCTTTGGTCTCTATAAAAATGTCAATGTTATACAGACAAATAGAAGGCTGATTTGTTCTGGACTGAAAGAGATAAAATAGAGGTGCCAATGAAACAATGCATACTTGCTATTAGATCTTGGGTTTAAAAAATGGTTAAAAAGGAAAGCATTCAGACAATTAGGGATATTTGAATATTACATAATTTGAACTATGTAATAGATAAAAATAATGTATCAATGTTACATTTCCCTGATGTTATAATTATTATTGTGGTTATCAAAAGAATTCTTGTGTTTTTAGGAGCCAGATTCAGAACTATTTATATGACGTATTTTGTTTTTCTGTAATTTATTCATACCTGCTTCAGAAGGGACTAATGGGTTGACAGAGAGAGAAGAATAAAATAAACAAAAGGAGCAAAATCTTACATTTGGTACATCTAGGTAAGATAAGTTTTTATATTATAATTTTTTAATTTTTTGAGATTTATACAATTTTCTGAGACTCTAAATAAAAATATGAATAGCACATATATAAATAAACCATTCTTATGCTAATATCCATATTCAGAAATCTAATCTGGACACAAATGTAGATAGTATTCACTGTGTAATAAACTGTGGTTTAGTTTTGCTAACAAGACTCCAAAATCTGTGTGGGCAAGAAATAGGTTATATCTCTCTTTATTAATGCACTAAGTTCTAGAAAAAAATAATTGCAGAAAACAGAAACTCAATAAATGTTTGTTAACATAAAACCCATAAAAATGCTAAAAGCCTTGATGAAGCTGCTAAACAAAAACGCTTAAACTCTCTGATGGAATACATATGGTCTACACAAGTTTTTTGCAAGTTTGGAAACTATATCTTAAACCAGATAGATGAGTAAAGGATCCAGCCCAGATATCAAATCATCATCACAGCCTTAGAAATAAAATAACTGATGAACAACTTTATACCATTCATAACCAGGCTGCTGTTGAACATTGTTCAACAAACAAGTATGAAGAAATCTTTTACTTACAAATAATATCATAGAAAATATATCAATACAAATCATCAAAATTCAAATACTTTTAAAGTTAAATTCATCATTTTAGCTGCATAAAAATGTACTATTTCATTTTTAGAGGACACAAGAATCCACAAAAATATGTAACGTCAAGCCTTTTTGTTGTCAGTAAATAAACTCCTGAGGATTTTAAAGGGCTTGAAAGATTAGGTATCATCAATTTGTAACTTTTCCTTTTTGTTGCTTTGAAAGAACTATTTATACAAGTCCATTTTGTACACTTTATAAAGAATCCTCTCTAGTCTGTCTCTCAAAGAACCCTTCATTGTGTGAGAAGGTTGGGAAAAGGTTAGAACCAATCAGCAGCATTGGCTTCAATACCTATCATCTCTGTCTTCTTCCACTTTTAAGACTCTAAAAAATAATCAAGATAAAAATTTTATTCTTGTGCTTTCAATAGGCAAATTTTCTGTGATTCTTCTCTTAATGTTACAACATGTAAAGTAATGTGAAATTAATCAGAGTGTTCCATTCATTCATGGTAGGAAAATAAAGGTATAAAATATGCAGTGACAATTTGTGTAGAACCATGAATTTTTATTTTGCCAAGTTTCACAAAATTCCTCATCGTTCTTTGTAAAGTGTCTCATCTCCCCTCAGTACCACCATCTCTCAACATGACCCCCACCTATCATTACAATCAGTAAATGAATATTAGATAAAAAATAAGTCATGTTCCTCAGCACCAACGGAAAATTAGAAAATACACTCTTGTGCAAAATGAAAATATAGCTTTACATCTTACGAAATAGTTTCCTTTGATATTTTGTTTTTATTTTAGTAAGCTGCTGTTGTTACTTTTATTGAGCAACTCTATCTTTTAGCAGCTATGTAGACTGTATATTAACCCCCTGCTAAGATCAGGCTTTAACAAAACTGTAAAAATGGGGGTGGGAAGACAGCAATTGAAGCTATGTTTAAATATGCAATTTTAGAAAACTGTACTAGAAAATATGACATATAGGTGAACATTTGTTTAAAATATACTTCTCCAACAAAAATATTTATAGTGACCTAGGATTAATACTCAACACAGGAAGGAAAAGTGTATTAGTCTGTGTTGCTATAAAGAAATACATGACCTGGGTAATTTTTAAAGAAAATACATTTATTTGGCTTATGGTTCTGCAAGCTGTACAAGCATGGTACCTGCATCTTCTCCTGGTGAGGCCTCAGGGAGCCTGCAATTATGGCAGAAGGCAAAAGGGAAGCTGGCATATCACATGGCAAGAAGGAGCAAGAGAGTGGGGAGGTGACAGGCTCTTTTAAACAACCAGATCTCACATGAACTCAGAGAGTGAAAACTCACTCATTACCATGAGGACAGCACCAAGGCACCCTTGTTACCCAAACACCTCCTACTAGGCTCACCTCTAACCTTGGAGATCACATTTCAACATGAGATTTGGAGGGGACAAAAACATCCAAACTATATCACAAGGCTTTTCTTCCTACTTATACAATCTTTTTAAGATTCTCAAGAGCATCACTGGATCATAAAATTTTTTTCTTTCATTGTAGAGTTCTTTCACATATTTAAATGTTAAAAATATCTTTGCTTCCTATTTTTATTCCATGTATCCTTTCATGGAATAAAAAACTATCAGTACTTTAAAAAACTACCACCTCAGCCTTCATACAGACCTTAGCCCCTTTTTGATGCTTCTAGACTTTTAATTATGTATCCTCTAAAATCTTGACCCATTTCTTTTTATTTTACCATTTAAACTACTGTTTTAAGGCCAGGTGCTGTGGCTCACCTCTGTAACCCCAGCACTTTGAGAGGCCAAGGTAGGTGGATCTTGAGGTCAAGAGATCGAGACCATCCTGACCAATGTGGTGAAACTCCATATCTACTAAAAATACAAAAATTAGCTGGGCGTGGTGGTGCGCACCTGTAGTCCCAGCTACTCAGGGGGCTGAGGGAGGAGAATCGTTTGAACCCGGGAGGCTGAGATTGCAATGAGCTGAGATCGCACCACTGCACTCTAGCCTGGCGACAAAGTGAGACTCCGTCTCAAAAAAAAAAAAAAATACTATTTTATTTTATTTTGACTGATGCTCCTAGATCAACTGAACTAAATTCAAGAGATAACAAAGTAGGGCATAAATTGATAACTCTCCTATATTGCAGATATTTTCACTATTGTTGAAAATATAAAAACCCACTTACTTATGCTTATTATTTCTTCTCACTCTTTAAATAGCAGAATGCTATATATCAAGCATGCTTAGGTTTTTCTGTCTAATAGGAGCCAGCAGGATGAGAATAAAAATTTTGATTACCCAATCGCTGCTAAACAAATCATATGTACCAAAGTAGACAATATAATCAATAATATAGTCAATTTATTCTTACACTATATATCTGAGTGTTTAATATATTTTAATTTATCTTTAGAATATTCCTTTAAATGGGGTTACACTTTTATTTTCTAATATCTAAACTGAAATTCTATATGGACAAATTTTCCAGATTTGATCTACACTAGTCTTCACATTCCACATATAACTAAATTGGTATCTCCAACATAAACTCTAAAATTTAGCATAAATTCATTAAGTGCCTTCTTGATTATCTTTTGGTTTATATATTTCTTCACTCAGTTTTTAACATACACATGTCTTTAGTAAACAGTTTAACATCCACACACCCTTTGCTAAAGAAGATTTGAATTTAGGCATAACATCACTCTACTGTTGTCCTGGAGAGACCCACAAAGCATTTTAACTATACATGCAGATTTTGAATATCTTTATAACACTGCCATGGAAATCCCCAATCTGCTTTTGCATCTGTGAAAATGAAGAGTGTCATCAACAAAAAATGGACTATGAAGATAGTGCAAGCCTTTTATTCTTATGAGTTCCTTTCTAGTATCTGATGTTATTGGAGTAGAGACTGCTTAGGACAAAGAAAAACTAGGCCAAGTTTAGAACCAGCAGTTTATTATTCCCTTTATGTTCACTGATGTACCACTTTCAGTAATAAGCCTTTATTCCTTGATTTAGCAACTCAAAGTCATGAAATTAAAATGACTAAGGAAAACATATTGCAGACTGTTTATCTTTGTAAGGTAGATGCTTTAGAAATATCAGCTATGTGTTTAATCCAAGAAAAGTAACAAAACAATACAATTCTTAATTACTGTTGATTTAATTCTGGAATTTATATTTACTGAGAATTTTTTTAGTAACACAGTTAGATTACATAGAAATTCAATGTAGACACAGAACTATTGAGAGAGAGTCAGTAGCCAGGAATTTCTAGTAAAATAATACAAGGATCCTTGCTTCAGACCACGTAATTTTTTTTTGTTGTTGTTGTTGTTTTGCCACGCATACAACTCTTTCCAATCCTTTCACTCTTTCCCAAATTTAGACTATCTGCTTAAAACTCCACTTCATTGCAGAGAAAACTGCAAAAGTTATGTGCTATTCTTATACCTCAAAAACACATATACTGATTTCCAGTTTCAGCTCCAATGCATAAAGAGCTAAAAGTAATTATTCCCATCCTTACAAGAAAAAAAGCTGAAGAGACTAAAAAGCAATATTTTTTTTTTGAATTCGTGATAGAATTGAAGTCACAGGGTGAACTGTCACCCCAAAATCTGGAAATACAGGCAAACACAGAGAGTCACAGCTAATATTTACTTGCTGGAATCAGAAGCAAATAAAAACATAAACTGTAGAAACACACAAATGGCAAAATTGACAAAGTGCTGCAGGCTGATTGTGGGCTATGATGAGAGTGAGAACTTTGGGGAATACAACCTTGCAGTGGGGAGAAGCCGCACACTTTTATGGTTTTTATCTTAAGGAATCCCACTAGGTTCTCAAGAGGAAGAACCAAGAGAAATCCCTCAGGGATCTAAGAGGGGAAAGGAAAGAATAATCATTGTGAAATATGACCAGAGCATTCCCCATAACACAAGCCTACTCCCCAGAGGAAAATAATTTACCACAGTCTTATCCCACCTGAGAGAAGGGTATTCTCAGACTTCATCCTTCTCTAGCCTTCCGGTCTCACCTAAAGAAAGGGAAAAAAGCTTCACATTTGTGAAGGCCAAGTTTCAGGGACATAGGCTCACTACAAATCTGAGTTTTAGTCAGATTATAAAACAATCACTCTTCTCCACATGTTAGCCCTGCACCAGCAGGACTCTAGTATAATAACAATGGATAATAGATGAAGGAGCTGAAAGAAAAAGACTCTACATAAGGACTTAGGAAAGTTCAAAGACATCAGAAAAAAAAAAAAAGAGAAGGAAAAAGAAAGCAGTATTAAGATTTGAAGCCTCTGACACCTACAGCTTTACAAAATATTAAACACAGTTCTAATTCTTGCCAGATTAACACATAACCTCACACTAAAGACATATTTACCTCAGTTCCTATTATCTAATATATTAGGCAAAGGTTACAAGTTACATCAAAGGCAAGTAAAAGCACACCTGAAGAGCTAAGGAAACATACAAACCAGGTTCAAAAAATGACACAGATTTTGGAATTATCAGAGTAATCAAAATAACGTGATGAATATATTAAGGGTTCTAATAAAAAAAGCAGACAGTGTAAGAATATATTGGTAACACAACAGAAATAAAACCACACATCTACAACCATCTGGTCTTTGACAAACCTGACAAAACCAAGCAATGGGGAAAGGATTCTCTATTTAATAAATGGCGTTGGGAAAACTGGCTAGCCATATGCAGAAAACTGAAACTGGACTCCTTCCTTACTTACACCTTATACAAAAATTAACTCAATATGGATTAGACTTAAATGTAAGACCTAAAACCATAAAAACCCCAGACCATACTATTCAGGACATAGGCATGGGCAAAGACTTCATGACTAAAACTCCAAATGCAATGGCAACAAAAGCCAAAATTGACAAATGGGATCTAATTAAACTAAAGAGCTTCTGCACAGAAAAAGAAACTATCATCAGAGTGAACGGGCAACCTACAGAATGGCAGAAAATTTTCACAATCTGTCCATCTTACAAAGGGCTAATATCCAGAATCTACAAGGAACTTAAACAAATTTACAAAAATAAAAAAAGAAAAACATCAAAAAGTGGGTGAAGGATATGATCAGACACTTCTCAAAAGAAGACACGCATGTGGCCAAAAAACATATGAAAAAAAGCTCATCATCACTGTCATTAGAGAAATGCAAATTAAAACCACAATCAGATACCATCTTATGTCAGTTTAAATGGCAATCATTAAAATGTCAGGAAACAACAGATGTTGGAGAGGATTTGGAGAAATAAGAATGCTTTTACACTGTTGGTGGGAGTGTAAATTCATTCAACCATTGTGTAAGACAGTGGGGTGATTCCTTAAGGATCTAGAAACAGAAATAATATTTGACTCAGCAATCTCATTATTGGGTATATACTCAAAGGATTATAAATCATTCTACTATAAAAACACATGCACACATATGTTTGTTGCAGCACTATCCACAATAACAAAGATTTGGAACCAACCCAAATGATGATAGACTGTATAAAGAAAATGTGGCACACATACACCATAGAATGCTATGCAGCCATGAAAAAGGATGAGTTCATGTCCTTTGCAGGGACATGGATGAAGCTGGATACCATCATTCTCAGCAAACTAACACAGGAACAGAAAATCAAACACTGCATGTTCTCATTCACACGTGGGAGTTGAACCATGAGAACTCATGGACACAGGGAGGGGAACATCACACATCGGGGCCTATTGGGGATTGGGGTCCTGGGGGAGGGATAGCATTAGGATAAACACCCAATGTAGATGACAGGTTGATAGGTGCAGCAAACACACGTGTATGCATGGCATGTGTATACCTATGTAACAAACCTGCATGTTCTGCATATGTAACCCAGAACTTAAAATATAATAAAAAATGAAATTAAAAAACTTAAAAAATAACATATTGGTATTGTAAACAGTTAATTGAAGAGTCTAAGGAAATAATCAAAACTAAAGGCTATAAATTAAAAAAAAATGGTAACAGAAATTAAGAATGCTTTTAGTAGGTTTATCTGAAGACTGGATATGACTCAATAGAGAACCAATGAGCATTAAGATAGTTTGATAAAAACATTCCAAATTTAAATACAAATAGAAAAAATAATAAAAACAAGGGAACAGAATATGTAAAAACGGTGGGACAATTACAAAAATTTTAATGTGTGTTTAATTGAAAATATACATGCACTAATTGGAACATCAGTAAGACAATGAGAGAAAGAGAATATGAGTGGAGTAGAAGAAATATTTGAGATAGTAATGGCTATGATTTTCCAAAATTAATAAATGATATCAAACCACAGATTCAAGAAGCAGAGAAGAGCAAACATGATAAATTCCAAAATATCTACACTTAGACATATCACATCTAAACTGAAAATTATCAAAGACAAAGCAAAAGTCTTGACAGAAACAAGAGAAAGGAAAAAATATAAAACTTCCCTCTAAAAGACCAAGAATATAAATTACAGTAGACTTCCTGGAGAAGATGGCAGATAAGAAGCAGGGTTAACATGTGTCTCCCATTTGGATGGATAGAGCAGTTTGTAGAAATTCACACTGCAAACTTTTGTTCCAAGAACTACTGCAGGACTGTACCAGGAAAACTGAAGGAATTCACGGATCCTTTGAAGGAAAACAGCATGCCCTGAAAACTCAGTGAGACAGGCGAAAATCTCCCAACACAAAAGACAAAAACTATTGGGAGTTTTATGGCTCCACCCATCACCTGGGAAACCAGAATACTTCCCCTGACCAACTTAGGGCAAGCTCAAATCCCACTGCTAATACTACAGCTAGTACTTTCTTAAAAGCACCACCTCCTGGCTGGAGGCTAACCAACTCAGGCCATTCCAGCAACTCATGTCAGAATAACCCTGCTCCCAGGAAGGAGAAAACAACAGTTAGTATTGCTGCCTGCAACATCCTGGCTAATCAGAGGTCCTGAGTCTGTCCAAGTAAAAACTTCACTGCTAACAAAACCAGCGTTCAAGAAAGCCAGCACACTAAACCTATCTACAACTAAGGATACCCACAGAGTCTACATCCCTCCCTTGACATCTCCACCAGAGCAGGTGCTGGTATCGATGGCTGGGAGACCTAAAGAATGGTCATATCACTGGACTGTGCACACATTCCCCAGCACCAGCCCATGCCTGCTAGCCCCTCTGGATGGCTAGAACCAAAAGACAATAACAACCACTGCAATCAGACTTTCAGAAAGCCCCATCCCTAAAGGAAGGGGGAGAGTATCACATTAAGGGATCACCTGTGGAACAAAAGAATCTGAAGAGCAGGTCTTGAGTTCCGGATCTCTTTGCAGGAGCAGAGACATCGTTGCAATGCTGGATGCAGTAGGGAAATTCTGCGTCTATATTCTAACAGGCAGACAGCTTCTGTGATTGTGGCGGGCTTTGGAGAAGGGGTCATTTTTCTCCCTGGTACTGCACTGCAGACACAGCTGGGGCTTTCTCCACAGGAAAGTGACATAGAGGCACCTATAGATAGCCTTTCTGGAACAACCCAGGGTAAGTGCAGCCCCACAAGAGGACCACTCCCCAGATTCAGGCCTGCACAAGAGGCAGAATCACAATTTCTCCCTACTTGGAACATCAACATTCCTATAGGAAAAGAGGTGCCTGTTTAATCTGAATAGCTGAAACATTAGGACAGACATGAGGCTGTAAGATGAATAGCTTTCCTACTGACCTGGTAGGGGAGTTGAGGTAGTTCTCATTCTTCATCCTGATAAAACATCACCATATGTAATTGAGAGCTCCACCAGCCACATTCACCAAGGCTAAGACCTTGGCCCACCTTTGGGTATTACATCTACCTACCTGCCTTAGCCACAACTGATGCCTACCCAGGGATACTTCCTTTATTGACCTGAGGCCCGAATCACCAACTCACTAAATAAAAGACTGGGGAAATAAATAAATAAATACCATGAGAGAATGAGAGGAGCTTCAAGAGATCCCTGCCATTCCAACTCCATAACAGTCAGTGAACTCACCTACACATCAAGAATATAACAGCTACAACCAGCATCACAGAAAGCCAACACACAAAGACTCTCTATAACTAAGTAACAGAGTCTTCACCCCTACAAGCATGAAGAATCAAATTAGGCTAATATAAACATTAAAGTCTGGTTCCTATGAGGGAAAAAAATTAAATTAAAAAAAAAAACCAATCCCACCAAAAATAAATTCAAGAACAATTTGAAGAAATAATCTACTGAAATGAGAAGGAATCAGAAAAGTAATTCTGGTTGTATGACAAAATAGGGTTTTATAACACCCCAAATGATCACACTAGCTTCCAGCAGTGAATTCAAACCAAGAAGAAATCTCTGAATTGCTAGATAAAGAATTCAGAAGGTTGAATGGATTGTTAAGCTTAACTATTAAGGTACTCAAGGACATCCTAGAGAAAGATGAAAACTAATTTAAAGAAATTCTAAAAAACAATTAAAAATATGGATGAAAAATTTACCAGAGAAATAGATGTAATTAAAAAAATACAGTCACAATTTCTGGAATTCAAAGACAAACTTAGGGAAATACGAAATGCAGTTGAAAGTTTGAACAATAGACTAGAACAAGTAGAAGAAAGAACTTCAGAGCTCAAAGACAAGGCTTTTGAACTAAATCAGACAAAGAAAAAAACATTTAAATGAAAAAAGCCTCTAAGAAATTTGGGATTATGTTAAATGGACAAACCTAAGAATAATTGGTGTTCCTGGAGAAGAAGATAAATTTAAAAGTTTGGAAAATCTATTTGAGAGAAAAATTGAGGGAAACTCCCCTGGCCTTTCTAGAGACCCAGACATCCAAATACAAGAAGCTCAATGAATTCCTTGGAAATTCATTACAAAAATATCATTGCCTCATCACATAGTCTTCAGATTATCTGAAGTCAAGACAAAGGATAGAATCTTAAGAGCTCTGAGAAAAAGCATTAGATAACCTATAAAGGAACATCTGTCAGATGAACAGCTGATTTATCAGCAGAAACCTTACAAGTCAGAAGAGACTGGGATCCTATCTTTAGCCTCCATAAACGAAATAATTGTCAGCCAAGGATTTTGTATCCAGCAAAACAAAGATTCACAAATGAAGGCGAGATAAAGTCTTTTTCAGACACATGAATGCTGAGAGAATTTACTACTACCAAACAAGTACTACAAGAAATGCAAAAGGGGTTCTAAATCTTGAAACAAAACCTCGAAATACATCAAAATAGAATCTCCTTAAAGGTTCTGTTCACAGGGCCTATAAAACAATAACACAATGAGAAATACAAGGCACTTAGGCAACAATTAACATGATTAATAGAATAGGACATCACATCTCAATACTAAAGTTGAATGTAAATAGTCTAAATGCTCCACTTAAAAAACACAGATTGGCAGAATGGGTAGAAAGTCGACCAACCATCTGCTGTCTTACCTAACATATAAGGACTTACATAAACTTAAGGTAAAGGGGTAGAAAAAGATATCCCACACAAATGGAAACTAAAAGCCAGCAGGAGTAGATATTCTTATATCAGACAAAATAGACTTTAAAGAGACAACAGTTAAAAAAAAAAAAAGACAAAAAAGGGCATTATATAATGATAAAAATTATTAGTTGAACAGGAAAATAACACAATCTTAAATATTTATGCACGTAACACTGGAGCTCCCAAATTCATAAAACAATTACTGCTAGACCTAAGAAATGAGGTAGACAGCAACACAGCAATAGTGGGAGACTTCAGAACTCCACTGACAGCACTAGTCAGGACATCAAGAAAGAAAGTCAACAAAGAAACAATGGACTTAATGGCAGAGCACTGTGGCTCATGCCTGTAATCCTAGCACTTTGGGAGCCTGAGGCAGATGGATCACTTGAGTTCAGGAGTTCAAGACCAGCCTGACCAACATGGTGAAACCTCATATCTACTATAATAAAAATACAAAAATTAACCAAGCATGATGGCACACACCTATAGTCCCAGCTACTTGAGAGGCTGAGGCATGACAATGGCTTGAACCTGGGAGGCAGAGGTTGCAGTGAGCCAAGACCATGCCAGTACACTCTAGCCTGGGTGACAAAGTGAGACTCTGTTTCCAAAAAAAAAAAAAAAAAAAAGAGAAAAGAAAAGAAAAAAGGAAACTATACCCTAAAACAGATGGACTTAACAGATATTTATAGAACATTCTGCTCAACAACTGCAGAAATATACACTCTTCACCACCATCTGGAACATTCTCCAAGATAGGCCATATGAAAGACTACAAAACAAGTCTCAATAAATTTAAGAAAATCAAAATCATATTAAGTATCATTTCAGACCACAGTGAAATAAAACTGGAAATTAATTCCAAACAAACCCTCAAAATTATACAAATACATGGAAATTAAACAACCTACCCTTGATTGATCTTTGGGTTAACAATGAAATCAAGATGGAAATTTAAAAATTCTTTGAACTGAATGAAAATAATGACAAAACTTATCAAACCTCTGTGACATAGCAAAAGCAGTGCTAGGAGGAAAGTTCATACCATTAAATGTCTACATTAAACAACCTGAAAAAGCACAAATAGACAACCTAACGTCACACCTCAAGGAACTAGAGAAACAAAAACAAACCAAACTTAACCCAGCAGAAGAAAATAAATAACAAATATCAGAACAGAGCTAAATGTAATTAAAACAACAACAAAATAAATAAATGAAACAGAAAGCTAGTTCTTTGAGATGCTAAACAAAATGGATAGATCATTACTGAGACTGACCAAGAAAAGGAGAGAGAAGATACAAATAAACTCAATAAGGGGTTAACATACAGAGGTCAATAAATGTGATACATCACATAAAGAGAATTAAAAACAAAAATCACATGATCATCTCAATAGAAACAGAAAAATGCATTTGACAAAATCCAGCATCTCTTTATAATAAAACCCTCAGCAAAACTGACATAGAAGGAACATACCTCAAAGTAATACAAGCCATATATGACAAACCCACTGCCAATATCATACTAAATGGGGAAGAGTTGACAGAATTCCTCTTGAGAGCTGAAAGAAGACAAAGATGCCCACTCTCACCCCTTCTATTCAACATAGTACTGGAAGTCCTGGCCAGAGCAATCAGACAAGAAAAAGAAATAAGGGCATCCAAATTGGAAAAGAGGAAATCAAACTGTAACTCTTCACTGATGATAGAATTGTGTGGGGAAAAGAAAGAGAAATCCGACTGTTACTGTGTCTATGTAGAAAGAAGTAGACATAAGAGACTCCATTTTATTCTGTACTAAGAAAAATTCTTCTGCCTTGAGATGCTGTTAATCTGTAACCCTACCCCCAACCCTGTGCTCCCTGAAACATGTGCTGTGTCAACTCAGGGTTAAATGGATTAAGGGCTGTGCAGGATATGCTTTGTTAAACAAATGCTTGAAAGCAGCATGCTTGTTAAGAGTCATCACCACTCCCTAATCTCAAGTACCCAGAAACACAGTACACTGAGGAAGTCCGCAGGGACCTCTGTCTAGGAAAGCCAGGTATTGTCCAAGGTTTCTCCCCATGTGACAGTCTGAATATGGCCTCCTGGGAAGGGAAAGACCTGACCATCCCCCAGCCTGACAACCGTAAAGGGTCTGTGCTGAGGAGGATTAGTAAAAGAGGAAGGAAGGCCTCTTTGCAGTTGAGATAAGAGGAAGGCATCTGTCTCCTGCTCATCCCTGAGCAATGGAATGCCTTAGTGTAAAACCCCATTGTATATTCCATCTACTGAGATGGGGAAAACTGCCTTAGGGCTGGAGGTGGGACATGCTGGCAGCAATACTGCTCTTTAAGGCATTGAGATGTTTATGTATATGCACATCAAAAGCACAGCACTTTTTTCTTTACCTTGTTTATGATGCAGAGACATTTGTTCACATGTTTTCCTGATGACCTTCTCCCCACTATTACCCTATTGTCCTGCCACATCCGCCTCTCCAAGAAATGCCCGATAATGATCAATAAATACTAAAGGAACTCAGAGACTGGTGCCGGCGCGGGTCCTCCATATGCTGAGCGCCAGTTCCCTGGGCCCACTTTTCTTTCTCTATACTTTGTCTCTGTGTCTCTTTCTTTTCTTAAGTCTCTCATCCCATCCGATGAGAAACGCCCACAAGTGTGGAGGGGCAGGCCACCCCTTCAGAATTATATACCAGAAAGCACTAAAGACCCATGCAAAAACCTCCTAAATCTGATAAATGAATTCAGTAAAGTTTCTGGATACAAAAATCAATGCACACAAATCAGGAGCAACTGCTGTATACTAACAATGACCAAGCTGGGAATCAAATCAAGAACTCAGTTCTGGCCAGGCACAGTGGCTTATGCCTGTAATCCCAGCACTTTGGAAGGCTGAGGCAGGTGGATCACTTGAGGTCAGGAGTTTGAGACCAGCCTGGCCAACATGCTGAAACCCTGTCTCTACTAAAATACAAAAATTAGCAGGGTGTGTTGGTGTGAGCCTGTAATCCCAGCTACTTGGCAGCTCAAGCAGGAGAATCGCTTGAATCCCAGAGCAGTGAGCTGAGATCGTGCCACTGCACTCCAGCCTGGGTGACAGAGCAAAATTCCATCTCAAATAAAATAATAAAAGAAAAGAACTCAGTCTTTTTTGCAACAGCTGAAAAAAAAATATTAAGGAATATACTTAACCAAGGAGGTGAAAGATCTCTACAAGAAAAACTACAAAACACTGCTGAAAGAAATTACAGATGATACTAACAAATTGTACTAGTATAAAAATATGCTTGTAGACCAATGGAACAAAATAGAGAACCCAGAAATAAAGCCAAATACTTACAGCCAACTGACATTTGACAAAGCATACAAAAACATAAAATGGGTAAAGGACACCCTACTCAACAAATGGTGCTGGGATAATTGGCAAGCCACATGTAGAAGAATGAAACTGGATACTCATCTCTTACCTTACACAAAAATTGACTCAAGATAAATGAAGGACTTAAATCTAATACCTGAAGCCATAAAAATACTATAAGAACATTGAAAAAACTCTTCTAGACATTGGCTCAGGCAAAGATTTCATGACCAAGAATCCAAAAGCAAATGCAACAATAAGAAAAATAAATAAAAGGAACATGACTAAAAAGTTTCTGCACAGCAAAAGAAATAATCAGTGTCAGGCCTCTGAGCCCAAACTAAGCCATCATATCCCCTGTGACCTGCACATACACATCCAGATGGCCAGTTCCTGCCTTAACTGATGACATTCCACCACAAAAGAAAAGAAAACGGCCTGTTTCTGCCTTAACTGATGACATTATCTTGTGAAATTCCTTCTCCTGGCTCATCCTGGCTCAAAAGCTCCCCTACTGAGCACCTTGTGACCCCCACTCCTGCCCGCCAGAGAACAACCCCCCTTTGACTGTAATTTTTGTTTACCTACCCAAATCCTATAAAATGGCCCCACCCCATCTCCCTTTGCTGACTCTCTTTTCGGACTCAGCCCGCCTGCACCCAGGTGAAATAAATAGCCTTGTTGCTCACACAAAGACTGTTTGGTGGTCTCTTCACATGGACACGAGTGAAATTTGGTGCGGTGACTTGGATTGGGGGACCTCCCTTGTGAGATCAATCCCCTGTCCTCCTGCTGTTTGTTCCATGAGAAAGATCCACCTACGACCTCTGGTCCTCAGACCAACCAGCCCAAGGAACATCTCACCAATTTTAAATCCAGTAAGTGGCCTCTTTTTACTCTCTTCTCCGACCTCTCTCACTATCTCTCAACCTCTTCCTCCTTTCAATCTTGGTGCCACACTTCAATCTTTCCCTTCTCTTAATTTCAGTTCCTTTCCTTTTCTGGTAGAGACGAAGGAGATGTGTTTTATCCGTGGACCCAAAACTTCGGTGCCAGTCACGGACTTGGGAAGACAGTCTTCCCTTGGTGTTTAATCACGCAGGGATGCCTGCCTGATTATTCACCCACATTTCAGAGGTGCCTGACCACACGGGGATGCCTGCCTTGGTCCTTCACCCTTAGTGGCAGATACCACTTTTCTGGGGGGCAAGAACCCCCCAACCCCTTATCTCCATGTCTGTACCCCTTCTCTGCTTTTCTGGGGGTCAAGAACCCCCCAACCCCTTCTTCATCCTTAGTGGCAAGTACCGCTTTTCTAGGGGGCAAGAACCCCCCGAACCCTTCTCTCCATGTCTCTACCCCTTTTCCACTTTTCTGTGGGGCAAGAACCCCCTAACCCCTTCTCCTTCAACCTTAGCAGCAAATACTGCTTTTCTAGGGGACAAGAACCCCCCGACCCCTTCTCTCCATGTCTCTACCCCTTCTCCGCTTCTCTGGAGGGCAAGAACCCCCCACCCAACCCCTTCTCTCCGTGTCTCTACTCTCTTTTTTCTGGGCTTGCCTCCTTCACTATGGGTAACCTTCCACCCTCCATTCCTCCCTCTTCTCCCTTAGCCTGTGTTCTCAAGAACTTAAAACCTCTTCAACTCACACCTGACCTAAAACCTAAACGCCTTATTTTCTTCTACAATGCTGCTTGACCCCAATACAAACTTGACAATGGCTCTAAATGGCCAGAAAATGGCACTTTTGATTCTTCCATCCTACAAGATCTAGATAATTCTTGTCTTAAAATGGGCAAACGGTCTGAGATGCCTGACATCCAGTCATTCTTTTACACATCGGTCCCTCCCTACTCTCTGTTCTCAATGTGACTCGTCCCAAATTATCCTTTTTCCCCTTCCACATGTTCTCTCAGTCCCAACCCCAAGTGTTACTGAGTCTTTCTAATCTTCCTTTTCTACAGACCCATCTGACCTCTCCCCTCCTCCCCAGGCTGCTCCTCACCAGGCCGAGCTAGGTCCCAATTCTTCCTCAGCCTCTACTCCCCAACCCTATAATCCTTTTATCACCTCCCCTCCTCACACCCGGTCCAGCTTACAGTTTCGTTCCGTGACTAGCCCTCCCCTACCTGCCCAGCAATTTCCTCTTAAAAAGGTGGCTGAAGCTAAAGGCATAGTCAAGGTTAGTGCTCCTTTTTCTTTATCTGACCTCTCCCAAATCAGTTAGCATTTAGGCTCTTTCATCAAATATGAAAAACCTAGCCCAGTTCATGGCTCGTTCAGCAGCAACCCTGAGACGCTTTACGGCCCTAGACCCTAAAAGGTCAAAAGACAGTCTTATTCTGAATATACATTTTATCAACCAATCCACTCCTGACATTAAATAAAACTCCAAAAATTAAATTCCAGCCCTCAAACCCCACAACAAGACTTAACCTCACCTTCAAGGTGTACAATAATAGAGGAGAGGCAGCCAAGTAGCAATGTATTTCTGAGTTGCAATTCCTTGCCTCCACTGTGAGACAAACCCCAGCCACATCTCCAGCACATAAGAACTCCAAATGCCTGAACCACAGCTGTCAGGGGTTCCTCCAGAACCTCCTCCCCCAGGAGCCTGCTACAAGTGCCAGAAATCTGGCCACTGGGCCAAGGAATGCCCACAGCCCAGGATTCCTCGTAAGCCACGTCCCATCTGTGCAGGACCCCACTGAAAATCAGACTGTTCAACTCACCTGGCAGCCACCCCCAGAGTCCCTGGAACTCTGGCCCAAGGCTCTCTGACTCCTTCCCAGATCTTCTTGGCTTAGCAGCTGAAGACTGAACACTGCCCAATCACCTCGGAAGCCTACAGGACCATCACAGATGCTCTGGGTAACTCTCACAGTGGAGGGTAAGTCCATCCCCTTCTTAGTCAATACAGAGGCTACCCACTCCACATTACCTTCTTTTCAAGGGCCTGTTTCCCTTGCCACCATAACTGTCATGGGTATTGACGGCCAGGCTTCTAAACCTCTTAAAACTCCCCAACTCTGTTGCCAACTTAGAAAACATTCTTTTATGCACTCTTTTTTAATTATCCCCACCTGCCCAGTTCCCTTATTAGCTACAGCCACACCTCATTGCTGCCCTTTTCCCCAGGTCAAAACCTCCTTCGCATCCTCCTCTAGTATCCCCCCACCTTAACCCACAAGTATAAGGTACCTCTACTCCCTCCTCGGCAACTGATCATGCACCCCTTACAATCTCATTAAAACCTAATCACCCTTACCCCCCCTCAATACCAATATCCCATCCCACATCATGCTTTAAAAAGATTAAAGCCTGTTATCACTCACCTACTACAGCATGGCCTTTTAAAGCCTGTAAACTCCCCTTACAATTTCCCCATTTCACCTGTCCTAAAACCAGACAAGGCTCACACGTTAGTTCAAGATCTGCGCCTTATCAACCGAATTGTTTTGCCTATCCGCCCCATGGTGCCAAACCCATATACTCTCCTATCCTCAATACCTCCCTCCACAATCCATTATTCTGTTCTAGATCTCAAACATGCTTTCTTTACTATTCCTTTGCACCCTTCATCCCAGCCTCTCTTCACTTTCACTTGGACTGACCCTGACACCCATCAGGCTCAGCAAATTACCTGGGCTGTACTGCTGCAAGTCTTCACAGGCAGCCCCCATTACTTCAGTCAAGCCCAAATTTCTTCCTCATCTGTTACCTATCTCATCATAATTCTCAAAAAAACACATGTGCTCTCCCTACTGATTGTGTCTGGCTAATCTCCCAAACCCCAATCCCTTCTACAAAACAACAACTCCTTTCCTTCCTAGGCATGGTTAGATACTTTCGACTTTAGATATCTGGTTTTGCCATCCTGACAAAACCATTATATAAACTCACAAAAGGAAATCTAGCTGACCCCATAGATCCTAAATCCTTTCCCCACTCCTCTTCCCATTCCTTGAAGACAGCCTTAGAGACTGCCCTCACCCTAGCTCTCCCTGATTCATCCCAACCCTTTTCGTTACCCACAGCCAAAGTGCAGGGGTGTGCAGTCAGAATTCTTACACAAGAACTGGAACCGCACCCTGTAGCCTTTTTATCCAAACAACTCGACCTTACTGTTTTTGCCTAGCCCTCAAGTCTGTGTGTGGTGGCCGCTGACGCCCTGATACTTTTAGAGGCCCTTAAAATCACAAACTATACTCAACTCACTCTCTACAGTTCTCATAACTTCCAAAATCTATTTTCTTCCTCACACCTGATGCATATACTTCCTGCTCCCCAGCTCCTTCAGCTGTACTCACTCTTTGTTGAGTCTCCCACAATTACCATCGTTCCTGGCCTGGACTTCAATCTGGCCTCCCACATTATTCCTGATACCACACCTGATCCCCATGACTGTATCTCTCTGATCCACCTGACATTCACCCCATTTCCTCATATTTCCTTCTTTCCTGTTCCTCACCCTGATCACGCTCAGTTTATTGATGGCAGTTCCACCAGGCCTAATCGCCACACACCAGAAAGGCAGGCTATGCTATAGCACAAGCCACGAGCCTGCCTCTTAGAACCTCTCATTTCCTTTCCATCGTGAAAATCTATCCTCAAGGAAATAACTTTCCAGTGTTCCATCTGTTATTCTACTACTTCTCAGGGATTCCTCACGCCCCCTTCCTTTCCTACACATCAAGCTCGGGGATTTGCCCCTGCCCAGGACTGGCAAATTGGCTTTACTCACATTCCTCAAGTCAGGAAATTAAAATACCTCTTAGTCTGAGTAGACACTTTCAATGGATAGGTAGAGGCCTTTCCCACAGGGCTGAGAAGGCCACCACAGTCATTTCTTCCCTTCTGTCAGACATAATTCCTCGGTTTGGCCTTCCCACCTCTATACAGTCCGATAGCAGACCAGCCTTTATTAGTCAAATCACCCAACCAGTTTTTTAGGCTCTTGGTATTCAATGAAATCTTTATATCACTTACCATCCTCAATCATCAGGAAAAGTAGAACGGACAAACAGTCTTTTAAAAACACAGCCACCAACTTAAAAAGGACTGGACAATACTTTTACCACTTGCCTTTCTCAGAATTCGGGCCTGTCCTCAGAATGCTACAAGGTACAGCCCATTTAAGCTCTTGTATAGATGCTCCTTTTTATTAGGCCCCAGTCTCATTTCAGACACCAGACCAACTTGGACTGTGCCCCAAAAAACTTGTCATCCCTACTATCTTCTGTCTAGTCATACTCCTATTCACCATTCTCAACTACCTCATACATGCCCTGCTCTTGTTTACACTGCCGTTTTACACTGTTTCTCCAAGCCACCACAGCTGATATCTCCTAGTGCTATCCCCAAACTGCCACTCTTAACTCTTGAAGCAAATAAATAATCTTTGCTGGCAGGACTATGCTGAATCTCCTTAGTCACTCTCTAATCAGATGTCCTGGGTCCTCCCAATTCTTAGACCTTTAATACCTGTTTTTCTCCTTCTCTTATTCCATTTAGTTTTTCAATTCATACAAAACCATATCCAGGCCATCACCAATAATTCTAAATGACAAACGTTTCTTCTCACAGTCCCACAATATCACTCCTTACCACAAAATCTTCCTTCAGCTTAATCTCTCCCACTCTAGGTTCCCACACCGCCCCTAATCCCGCTCGAAGCAGCCCTGAGAAACATCACCCATTATCTCTCCATACCATCCCCCAAAATTTTCCCAACACTTTACCATTATTTTGTTTTATTTTTCTTATTAATATAAGAAGACAGGAATGTCAGGCCTCTGAGCCCAAGCTAAGCCATCATATCCCCTGTGACCTGCACGTACACACCCAGATGGCCAGTTCCTGCCTTAACTGATGACATTCCACCACAAAAGAAATGAAAGTGGCCTGTTCCTGCCTTAACTGATGACATTAACTTGTGAAATTCCTTCTCCTGGCTCATCCTGGCTCAAAAGCTCCCCTACTGAGCACCTTGTGACCCTCACTCCTGCCTGCCAGGGAACAACCCCCCTTTGACTGTAATTTTCATTTACCTACCCAAATCCTATAAAACTGCCCCACCCCTATCTCCCTTCACTGACTCTCTTTTCGGACTCAGCCCGCCTGCAACCAGGTGAAATAAACAGCCTTGTTGCTCACACAAAGCCTGTTTGGTGGTCTCTTCACACAGACACGAGTGAAAATCAGCAGAGTAAAAAGACAACCCACAGAGAGGGAGAAAATATTTTCAAACTATGCCTCAGACAAAGGACTAAAATGCAGAATCTACAAGGAACTCAAACAAATAAGCAAGATAAAAACTAATAACCCCATCAAAAAGTGGGCAAAGGTCATGACTAGACAATTCTCAAAAGAAGATATACAAATGGCCAGCAAATATATGAAAACATTATCAACATCACTAATTATCAAGGAAATGAAATTAAAACCATAGTGAGATACCACCTTACTCCTGCAAGAATGGCCATAATTTAAAAATCAAAAAATAATAGATGTTGGCATGGATGTGGTGAAAAGGGAACACTTCTACACTGCTAGTGAGAATGCAAACTAGTAAAACCACTATAAAAAACAGTATGGAGGCTCCTTAAAGAATTTAAAGTAGAACTACAATTTGAACCCAGAAATTCCAGTACTGAGGTATCTACCCAAAGGAAAAGAAGTTATTTTCATGCGCGTCCTTGTGAAGAGACCACCAAACAGGCTTTATGTGAGCAGCATGGCTGTTTATTTCACCTGGGTGCAGGCGGGCTGAGTCCGAAAAGAGAGTCAGTGAAGGGAGATAAGGGTGGCGCCGTTTTATAGGATTTGGGTAGGTAAAGGAAAATTACAGTCAAAGGGGGTTTGTTCTCTGGCGGGTAGGAGTGGGGGTCGCAAGGTGCTCAGTGGGCAGGAGTGGGGGGTCACAAGGTGCTCAGTGGGGGTGTTTTTTGAGCCAGGATGAGCCAGGAAAAGGACTTTCACAAGGTAACGTCATCAATTAAGGCAAGGACCGGCCATTTACACTTCTTTTGTGGTGGAATGTCATCAGTTAAGGTGGGGCAGGGCATATTCACTTCTTTTGTGATTCTTTAGTTACTTCAGGCCATCTGGGCATATACGTGCAGATCACAGGGGATGCGATGGCTTGGCTTGGGCTCAGAGGCCTGACAGTTATTATATGAAAAGTATACCTGTACATGCATGTTGATAGCAGCACAATTCAAAATTGCAAAAATATGGAACCAACATAAATGTCCATTGGCCAATGAGTGGATAAAGAAAATGTAGTATATATACACCACGGAATACTACTCAGCCATTAAAAACATGAAATAATGACATTTTCAGCAACTTGGATGCAACTGGAAACCATTATTCCAAGTGAACTAACTCAGGAATGGAAAACCAAATATAGCACATTCTCACTTACACTGGAAACTAAGTTGTGAGACTGCAAAGGCATAGGAATGATATAATGGACTTTGGGGACTGAGGAAGAAGGATGGGAGTGGAGTGAGGGATGGGAGACTACACATTGGGTATAGTGTACACTCCCTGGGTGACAGGTGCACCAAAATCTCAGAAATTGCCATTAAAGAACTTATCCATATAACTAAAACTACCTGTTCCCCAAAAACTATTGAAATAATTTTTTTAAAAAAAAGAAATAAAAAGAATTCTAGTAGACTTCCTCTCAGAAAGCAAGCAAGAAGAGTGAAGTGAAATATTTAAATTGCTGAAAGAAATAAGCCACCTATTTAGATTTCTATATGCAGTAAAATTATTTAAACTGAAGGAAAAATACAAATGCTCAACAAATTCTCTAACGATTCTCTTAGACAAACAAAAATTAAGGACTCTATTAAACAAACAAAAACTAAGGGAATTCATTGCCAACACACCTGACCCACAAGAAATGTAAGAACAAGAAGTTATTTGGAGAGAAGGAAAATGATATAGAGTAGAAATTCAATCCATTTTTTTTAAGGAAAAGCCTTGGAAAAAGAATAAAGAAAAGTAAAATGCAATCTTTTATTTTTTTCAATCTTAACTGATATAATTTTTAAAAATTATAATAGTAGCCATGCACTGAATTATAGCATATAGATTAGTAAAATGAATGACAGCAATGACATAAACGATGGGAGGGAGGAATTGGGAATGCTCTATTATAAGTTACCTGCACCATTCATGAAGTGGTATAGTGTTACTTGAAAGTGACCTTAGATTAGTTAAACATGTATATGACAAATTCTAGCGTAACCACTACTAAAATTTATAAAGAAATGTAATTGATATGGGATATGAGAGAAAATGAAATGCTCAATTATAGCCAAAGAAGGGGAAAAAAAGATTAGAAAAAAGCAACAAAGAAATAGCACCGCATAAAGAAATAGTTACAAATATGGCAGATATTGATCCAACATAAAAACAATCACTTTGAGTGTGAATTGTCTAAATATACTAATTAAAAGATAGAAATAATTAGAGGGGAAAAAGAAAAACACCACCACGAGATTTATGAGAAATTCACTTAAATATAAAAACTCAAATACGTTAGAAGAAAAGAGATGGCAAAAAATACACCATGCTAACACTAATTTTAAAAGGGCCTATATTGATTTCAGACAAAGCCGACTTTACAATAAGAATCAAGAATAAAGAAGGGCGTTACATAAAAATAAAAAGGTTGTTTCCTCAAGAGGACACTGAACAATCTTTAATGTATATGTACCTAAACACAGAGTATCAACACTTGAAGCAAAAACTGACTAACTGCAAAAAGAAATAGATTAATCCAGTATTTTAGTTGGATACCTCTTTACCCCTCTGTAACAGGTAGATAGAACAAGCAGACAAGAAAATTAGTAAGTATACAGTTTACCTAAACAACACTCTCAGTTAACTCAATCCAGTTAACATTTACAGAATACTCCATCCAACAACAGAATATATTCTTCTCAAGCTCATGTAAAGCACTCATCAATGAATAGAAATTTATACAAAGTATATTCTCAAACCACACTGGAATCAAACTAGAAATCAATAACAAATAATAGCTTAAAAATCCTCACATATTTGGAAATTAAACAATATTTCTGTAGGTAACATTTTGGTCAAATAAGCCTCAAGTGATATTTTAAAATATGTTGAACTAAATGAAAATAAAAGTACAACTTAATAAAATGTGTGGGATGCAGCAATAGCATTACTTTGACAGAAATTAAAATGTGTATATTAGAATATATGGTACCTCTTAAATTAATAACATAAGCTTATGCTTGAGAAGACTAGCAAAGAAAGGGCAATAAGGGCAATATTAGCCTAAAGCAAATAGAACACAAAGAAATAATATAAACTTCATCAGAATTCAATAAAATTGTAAACTAAAAAATCAATAGAATAAATCACACAAAAAACAAAAGCTAGTTCTTTGAAAGATCAATAACATTGACAAATTTCCAGCCAGGTAGTCCAACCAAAAGTAAGAGAGAGAAGACACAAATTGCTGACTACAGAAGAGAAAAAGAGATCACCACTACGTACCACCTGGATGTTAAAAGAATAATAAAGAAATACTATAAACACCACTATGCCCACAAAATTTTGTAACTTAGGCAAAATAGACCACCTTTTTAAAAGATGCAAACTACTAAGATAAAGACAAGGAGAAATAAGTAACCTAAATGGCCACTATCATTAAAAATATTAAATAATTGACCTATATCATTAAATAAAATTGAGGAAATTACATGATTGGCCTATATTATTAAAGAAGTTAAATAATTAATAACCTAAGGAAAAAAAACAAAGCAGCAGACTCAGATAATTTCACTGGTAAAATCTACCAGTGAATTCTCTTTAATAAATAAATTATAGCCATTTACCAACATCTCTTCCAAAGACTCAGAGGAAACACTTCTAACTCATTCTATGGGGCTACCATCACCGAAATAATGGAACTAAATAAACATTTAACAGGAGGAAAATTGCATACCAATATCTGTTTTAATAACAGGTGCAAAACCCTCAATAAAATATTAGCAAATCTTATCCAACAATCTATAAAAGAATTATACACCACCATTATATCAGATTTATTCCAGATATACATGGCTAGTTCAATTACAAAATCACTACAGTCCACCATATCAATAGGCTCAAGAAAAAAAAATTGGTGGAGAAAAAGCATTTGAAAAAAATCTGATTTATTTATCATAAAATATCTTAGCAAATAAAAATAGAGGAGAACTTTTTCAACTTGATAAAGAATATCTACAAAAACCTTACAACTAATATTATATTTAATGGTGAGAATCTGTATGGTTTTCTCTGAAGATCATGGACAATGTAAATATATCCTCTCTCACCAGTCTTATTCAATTTATAGTGGGAGTTAGATAACAGGAAAAAATAAAAGTTATACAGATTGAGAGGAAGAAAAACAAAAACTGTTTCACCTAGCAGATAACGTGATTGTCTATGAAGAAAATCCCCCCCAAATAAACAAACCAAAAAACTCCAGGAAATAAGTTTATATAGCATGGTCACAAGATACAAGTTCAACATACAAATGTAATTGCTTTCATATAAAACAGCAGTGAATATGTGGAACTTGAGATCAATTTTTTTAAAAAGCAAAATTTACAATAAGCATTCCAAAAAAATAAAATACATGCACATTCATTAAAATATACACAGAATCTATATAGAGAAAACCATAAAATCCTGATAAAATAAATTTAACAATAAATAAATGCAGATATATTTTATATTTATGGATTGGAAGACTCAATATTCTTAAAATACCAATTTTTTACATCTTGAGCTATAGATTCAACACAATCCTAGTCAAATTCCCAGTAAGTTATTTGTAGTTTTTGAAAAATTGATTCTAAAATTAAAAGGAGAAAAAAAATCTAGAAGATCCAGCACAATATTAAGAACAAATTTGAAAACCTCACGTTACCTGACTTCATGGTTTGCTATAAAGCTATAATAATCAAGAGCATATATTATGGAATGAAATAGAAAGTCGCAATAAGACTCACATAAATATAAACTAATGTTAGACAGTACCCCCAAAAAAGGCAATTCAACAAAAGTTTCTAGTGTAAGTGGACCTATAATATGCAAAGAAAAGAATCTAGACACAGACTTGACACCTTTTACAAAAATTAACTCAAAATGTACCATACATCTAAATGTGAAATGGAAAGCGATAAAGCTTCGAGAGAATCTGGGTGACCTGGGTTTGCCAATACATTTTTATATAAATATGGTTAAAGCATGATTCACAAAGAAAATATTGATAAGTTGAACTTCAAGTAAATAAAAAATTTCTTCTCCGTGAGACAGTGGAGAGAATCAAAAAACAGGCTAAAACCTGAGAGAAAATGGTTGCAAAAGACATATCTGATAAAAGACTTATATTCCAAATAAACAGAAAACTGACACATCAACAATCAGAATACAAACATCCTAATTTGAAAGTGGGCAAAAAAATTACACAGCCACCTGGCCGAAAAAGATATAGAGTACTAAGAGCAAAAATGATGGCAAAAGTAACTCCACAGTCCCATTCATCCACAGAAACATCAAAAAATTAAGTAAAACTGTCAGAATTAATATTGTCAAAACACTAAAGAGTAGTCAAAGCTTTACAGTAATCAAGTGAATGCTGAAAGAAGAAAAAGGCAACTGTAAAGTAACAAGAAAACTTCACAGCATTTTTACCTGTCCTTACTACACTCCCCTATTCAATTCAGAGCTGATCTTGAAGATGGAAGCCCATAGTCCAAATATGAAACACTGTTCCCTGGTTATAGAGAGAGCAGATCAGAATTTGTCCTTAAAGAATTGCGTTTGTCCGTTTTGACCTATTTAAAAGCTGCCTGAAGGCCCAGCACAAGTAACATGTCTTTGTTTTCCCTTACTCAGAATTACTCAAAATAGAGTCACCCATCATTTCTCAAAAGCACATAAACAACTTGCTGCCAACTGGGGCAAAATATTACATTTGAGGCAAAAAATAAATAAATAAATAAAGTGTGTCAAAAGCCTGGAAGGAAAAGCTGAGGAGAATATTTTTGGGGGAAATTGTGACATCCAAAAGGGCAAGGCTATTTGGAAAGCCATGCATACGTGCATGCCCAGGACAGAACTCATACTCAGAAAGACTTGAGAAAACCCTACATTTTGATCTCTGGTTGATCTACAGTCAGCAGAAGCAGGAAGTGAAAGCTAAGATGGAGTTGTAAACTGGCGGCCTGGCGAAGTGTTGAAAGAGTGCTGCAGCATAGAACTAAGCGACAAAAATGGGAGTTTCCTTCCCTCACTTCGCTCCTTCCTTCCTTCTTTCCTTCCTTCCTTCCTTCCTTCCTCCCTCCCTCCTTTCCTCTCTCCCTCTCTCCCTTCCTCTCTTCTCTTCTCTTTTCTTTCTTTCTTCTTTCTTTCATTTCCTTTCTTCTTCTTCATTTTAGTTATGTCGTGTTCCTTTATTATTCAGTGAGAAATATTTTATAATCTCTCATGTGATTTTTTTTCCCATTAATATGAGTTATTCAGGTTAATTTATAAATATTTTGGAATTTACTTAATACCTTACTCTCACTGATCCCTAATTTAATACCATTGAAGACAAGAAACAAAACTTTGTATGCTTTAATCCTTGAAATTTATCAAGATAAGTTTGTGTTTTGTGTCCAACCATGTAATATATGTACAGGTAGAGTTTACCAACTCTAATACTGCTATAGTATACTAATAATATACTTGTACTATTAGAATTAGCATACTAATACTCTACTATTAGTATTAGTATATCAGTACTATTAGTATTAGCATACTAATAGTACTAGTATATCAGTACTATTAGTATTAGCATACTAATAGTACTAGTATATCAGTACTATTAGTATTAGCATACTAATAGTACTAGTATATCAGTACTATTAGTATTAGCATACTAATAGTACTAGTATATCAGCACTATTAGTATTAGCATACTAATAGTACTAGTATATCAGTACTATTAGTATTAGCATACTAATAGTACTAGTATACTAATATTGCTAGTATACTAATACTATGTAATTGTATATAATTGTACTAGTATTAGTATACCTATACTAATCCTATTATACTATTAGTATTACACATATACTATTAGTATGCTATACTAATAGTATAATGTACTAGTATAGGTATACTAATATATAGGTATACTATTATATAGGTATATTAGGTATATAGGTATACTAATATATAATATACTAATAGTATACATATAATACTAATAGTATAATAGGATTAGTATAGGTATACTAATACTAATAAAATTCTAATACTGCTATGATAATAGGTATTGTATGTATATAATACTAATAGTATAATAGGATTAGCGTAGGTATACTTTTAGTATAGTATAATAGTATTAGTATAGGAATACTAATAGTATAATAGTTTTAGTATAGGTATACTAATACTAATACAATTCCAACACTGCTATAGTATCAGAGTTGCTAACTCATATATGTGTACTTATATTCTATGGTAGGCCATAAAACACAATTCAATATAGAATTGAACAATTAAGTTAAAGGATGGTGAATAGAGGGGATCCAGTCTTCTCACTTTCGGAGTGGGAATTTACAGATAAGCAATGTGATGAGATCAGAATAATTGATGCGGTAATGGGTTACAGTTGAAGACATCAACAGACATTCATATTTAACTTATAAAGACACAGTTCCAAACACATACATATATAAAGATATTTGTATATACAAGAGTTAGCATATACTAAATATTTCCTTGCTCTGTCAGCTGAGAGGGCCTAGAAGAAATGTTACACCCCAGTAGGGACAAACAACTCACTTCACACCCAGATATTGGTTTCTAATATCATTCTCCATGAAAAATAACCAGGGCTTCTTGGACCAAAAAAAATGGCTAATACTGGGAATGCGGTAGGAAATACAGAAAGAAGGAAAAACAGGGAACACAAAAAGCAAGTGAAATACAGAAATACAGAAGAGGAGTCTGGAGTATTCTGCTTCAGAAAATAAGAAAGTGCAAAAAAGAAAGGAAAAAAGGGAACACAAAAAGCAAGTGAAACAACTTGCAATGACCAAAGTTAGAACAATTTGAACAAGAAAATATATAAAATGATATTAGATGTAACTCAAAGTTTCAATATATATCTATGAAATCATACTGATAAAAATAATTGATTGAATAAATAAGATGGGAAAGGAGGACAAATCTCAGGAGGAAAAGTGAAACTATCGACTCCTTAAGTGTGGGCTTCACATAGGGACTCTCTTCAAAAGAGTACAGAATTTAAAGTGAGAAATTAGAAGAGTAACTTTATAGTGGAGAAACCTGACAAATGTTTTCTCCTCCAGGTGATCAAGGTCAACATCAATAGAGCTAAGTCAAATTGATATTGTATGTCCTTGGTTTGATGAGATGAGAAGGGCACTTTGCCTCTATAATCTTCCTTCCAAAAACCTATAACCTGTTAAAAAACATCAGATATATCCCAATAGAGGAACATTCTGAAACATACATGACCAACACTTCTCAAAATTATCAAGATTATGAAAAACAAGGAAAGTTTAAGAAACTGTCACAACCACGAGAAGCCTTAAGGAGATATTGACAGCTAAGCATAATGTGGTGTCCTGGTTGGGGATCCTAGAACGGGATCCTTCCATTAGATAAAAATGAAGAAAATCTGAGTAAAGTATGGGCTTAATTAAACTCTTTTCACTGTAATAACTATAGCATACTAATGTAAGATATTAATAACAGGGGTAACTAAGTTTGAGATATATGCAAACACTCCATACTATCTTCACAATTTTTATGTAAATCCAAAACTGATTTATTTACCTTATTTATATTATTATTTTCATTATATTTAGAGACTGGGCCTCGCTCTCTTGCCCAGACTAGAGTGCAGTGGCAGGATCATAACTGAATGCAGCCTCAAACTCCTGGGTTTAAGCCATCCTCCTGTCTCACCCTGTTGAGTAGGTAGGACTACAGGCACGTGCCACCATGCTCAGCTAATTTTTATCATCATTTTTCTATAAAGACAGGGTCTCACTAAGTAGCCCAGGCTGGTCTCCAATTCCTGGCCTCAAGCAATCCTCCCACCTCAGCCTCCCAAATTGCTAGGATTAGAGGCATGAGCCACTGCACCCAGGCCCTAAACTGCTTTAAAAATAAAGTTCACTTTGAAAAAATATATAAGCTCCCATCCCCCTCAATAAACACAATCTCACACACACACTTTTTCCATGTGAAGGAGTGTGAAGATGGGGAGAGCTCCTCAGCACTAAGCAACAGAGGTTCTTGAGGTTCGGAAAGTATATAGAAATAGCATCTATACAAAAGATAATCATCCAATTAGTAGTTCCATGACTGGGTTGAATGGCCATCATCATGCTGTGCATGTTTAAGACTAGAGAGTGTTTATTATTAGGGTTTGTTATTTTCTACCCCCTCTCCCAGTGGTGGGCACCACAGAAGGACATAGACATTTAGAAATTCTAAACAGATATTATTCTGACCTTTATTTCTGTTCACATCCCTGCAGATACTAATGTGTTCACTTCTCCCTTGCTACTCACAATTTGGTGTTCATACAGTTCTTCTTGAGCCTGATGACACCAGAAGACTTAGGACCTATGATTAACTCAGTAAAAGAAGCCATATTCTTCATTAGTCAAGCCGAACAACTTGCATGACCTGTGATGAACCCCTGCTGCTACCACAACAGTAGCTCTGAGATATATTGATAAGATCTTTCTATAGCCCTGAATTCTTCATCCATGCCTTAAATATAGTTATTCTGCATAAATGTCTATAAAGAGAAGACTAGTTGTAAAATGCTTTTACTTGCATTTGCAATAGGTTATCTACAAATTGGCTGATGGCACCTGTCAAGTAGGCAGATGTTTTATACAACAGTAAGAGGACTTCTACTTCCAGTTAGAATTTTAAAAGTAATAATGTTGGGAGAACTATAAAGCTGGAAATAAGCTGAACAAACTACCCAACAATAAAAAAATGCAGACAGTTAAGAATGCAAAGAAATCTAAATGAGCTAATATCCAGACAGTGACAAGCCCTTTCTATAAGAAAACATATCACTACTGCATTTATTCCTGGTGAAGAACAAGAAGAAATAATTGATTGAGGACAGAATAAACCAGATAAATGTATATCAAACTTTTTGTGGCTACATGTGAGCTAATATGATGAATTAGAATCCCAAAGATCCCCAGCCACAGGGCAATATGTATTCACCTACCAATTCTCTTCATAGACTCCAGTCACTAGACTTCCTGTCTCACCAAAAGGATTTGGGGGAAACGTGATCAACAGAGTTCAGGGTTTTGAGGAAATAGACTAAAAATTCTGCACCACAACAGGAGTAGAAGGAAAGGGGAACAAAAGCTATGCTACCTCAGAAACACTTCCGAAGGTTATAGCTTGGAGACACAGGCACACTAAACAAATTCAGGAGTAGTTGGCCAAAGACTGAGTTAAAAAGGTAAAGAAACTGAGAGGACCTCCTTGAGGCAGATGGGGCCTTCCCCTAGGACAAAGCAACACCTGACTGAAGAATGGAGTTGGGACAAAATATCTGAGAGAAATTTCTATAAAAGGGTAAATCAACAGCTACAGAAAGCTGGGAGCCCACATACATAAATATATACATTTTAAAAGACTAATAACCATTTAAAACAAAATAATAAAATGAATTGTGAGGTTTCTGCATATAGAATGGTGTAATATGTGACAGGAGCAAAAAGGGAGGAAAGGGTAAATGAAACAATACTATTGAAAGGCTTATACATTTGCCATGAAGCCACATAATATTATTTAAAGGTAGATTATGATGACATAGACAGTTAATACTTTATAAAAATTACTAAAACATAAAATAGAAAACTATAGCTAATAATCCAATAGAGAGATATAGCAGTAGGTACCCCAGTATTATTGTATTTTTCCCTGTTATCTTGGGGATTCCCTATGATAAAATGAAATGCTAAAAAATGCCTGACTCTGAAAAGGAGTCAGGAAAGGAAGAACAGAGAAACAAAGAATAGACAGAACAAATGTAAAACAAATACCAAGATAGTAGACTTAAATATAAACATATCCATTATGAAATTAAATGTAAATGGACCAAATACACTAAATAAAGGGAGAGATTGTCAGATTAGATGAAAAAAACAAAACCACCTATATTTTATGTAGTACAAGAAATACTGCAGACTTCTGGTTTCAGTTTTGACATGCAAAGAGCCACTCCTATATTTAAAACTAGAAAAAGCTAGAAAAACTGAAAATCAGGGACTTTTTCGGACCCATAATAAAATTGGAGATCACAGGGCAAACTACCATCCTTCAATCCAGAAAATCAGGCACATCTGAAAAGATACAGCTGCAATCTGCCTACCTGAAGCAGAAACTACTGAAGCCAGAAACTGGCAGAAACACTTACTGGGAATTGGGATAAATTGTAGGAGGCTTATTATGGACTAGTTGGAGAGTAAGAAACTCCTAGGAGACACAGTCTTGGGGTGGAATGGGGGACAAACTTTCCTAAATTTCCTCTCCATGATTTCCACCAGTTTCTCACTTTGACAATCCACGAGAAATCCCCCCTGGTGACTGTCAGGGAAGGGCAAGAGTAGCCCTTGGGTACAATCATCACAATATTTCCCCTAATCTTTTAGGCAAAGGACTTAGCCACAGTGCAAACTTCAAACTTCAGAAGAGAATTTCTCCTCCTTATTCCAGTCACTAGACTTCCTGTCTCACCAAAGGGAGTTGGGGGAAACATGGTCAACGGAGTTCAGGGTTTCGAGGAAATAGACTGAAAATTCTGTACTAGAACAGGAGTAGGAGGAAGGGGAATAAAAGCTATGCTATTTCAGAAACACTTGTGAAGGTCATACCTTGGAGATACAGGCCCACTAAATAGCAGATTAATGAGAAGATTACAAAATTATCCCCTTCCCTTTATATTTGAGTATTATGCCAACAGGGATCCAGTGTAAAGATAGTGCATTACAGCCGAATGAGATGCAAAACAGGCTTTCTGAAAAAGAGTACATAGGGAAGCCCAAAGATAACAGGGAAAAATACAATAACGCTTGGGTATCTACTGCTGTAATCGACACTAAACACAGGCTAACTGTTAGTCAGATTAACATAAATCCTCACACTAAGGACATATTTACTTTGTTTCCACCAGCTTCTCACAGTGAGATTTCCAGAATTTCCACCAGCTTCTCACAGTGACAATCGAAGAGACATCTTCCAGGTGACCCAGGGAGGGAAGGGAAATTGTAGCCTAATGCAATATATCTGGCTTTCAACAACATTTACAAGTCCCAAAAGGGAAGTAAAAACACACTCTGGAGAAAGAAAACAATTTCATCAGAACCACACTGAGATAAGAAACAGATATGGGAATCATCAGACAGGGAATTTAAAATAACTATGATTAATATGTTAAGGGCTCTAATGCCACAAGTGTATAAGAAGCAAGAACAGATGGGTAATGTAAGCAGGGAGATGGAAACTATAAAAAAAAGAGTCAAGAGGAAATGCTAGAAATAGAAAAACACAGACACAGAATTAAAGTATGCTTTCAACGAACTCACCAAAAAACTGGACATGGCCAAGGAAAGAATCAGTGCACTTGAAAACAGAACAATAGAACACTCGCAACTGTAATGCAAAGAGAAACAAGAATAGAAAACAAAATAGAACAGGACATCTCAAAATTGTGAGACAATACCAAAAGATATAACATATATGAAATTGGAATGTCATAAAGAGAAAAGAGAAAAAGAAACATTTAAAGTAACAATGACCAAAAATTTTCTAAAATTAGTGACAGACACCAGACTGCAAATTCAGGAAGTTAGTACCAAGCAAGAGAAATACCACCCACCCCACACCAAAAAAAAAACAAAAAAAACCAAAAAACATACGCACACACAGGCATATTATATTCAAATCGTCAAAGTTCGGAAAACAAGAAACATTTTAAATATAAGGCATAGATTGAATGTAAAAGGGCACATATATATCTATTTCTATGTCTATATACACCATAAATACGGTAACCATATGAAAGTCAACATGGCTATATTATTATCAGGCAAATTAAGGAGTATAATCAGAAGTAGAGACATTTCATAATGATAAAAAGTCAAATTATTAGAGACATACTAATGTACCTAAAACAGAGTATGTGAACCTAATAACAAAGATTCAAATTCATGAAGTGAAAATATAACTAAAGAAAGAAACAGACAAGTCCATAATCGCATTGGAAGTTTTAACATGCTCCTGTCAGTAATTGACAGAACAATGAAAGAAATGCTGTTTATGATAAAGAATATTTGAAAACCACTATCAACATCCTGTACCTAATTTATATTTATAGAAAACAACACCTATCAGAATCATAATATACATTTTTTAACTGTACAAATATTATATGGTGGGCTATAAAACACATCTCAATAAATTTCAAAGGACTGAAAAATACGAAGTCTTGCTTTCTGACTACAATGGTGTTAAATTAGATTTCTAATTAAATTATATTAGAAATCAATAAGGATAAAATACAAAGAAAATGCCTCAAATAATTTCAATATTTGAAATTAAGATACTCATTTCTGAATAACTCATAGGTCAAAAAAGAAATACATAGGAAATTAGAAAATACGTTACCAAATAATAATGAAATGCAACATAGAATTAGTGGAATGGAGATAGATATGGCTATAATAAAGAGAAAGACTCCATTTTTGATGTTTCACTACTGACAGCTTACAAGCCTATCCTCCCCCTTCCTCTTTTGTCCTACATCTAGCCAAGCCAATTAAAAAGTTTACATACCTGCTTCCATGGTACTAGCAGAACATTCATATCACTGAAGCTCAGACCCATTTGCACAGGCATGAAATCTTCCCATTCCCACCTCTTAGCCATACTAAAAATTAACTCACTCTCTCTGCTTCCCTCAAGTTACCTAAACTGTCTTGAGCCTGTCCTACTTTACCCAGAAAATCCTCCTATATAGGTAATAACTCTTTTCACAGCCTACTGGTGATTGTCATGTCACCAGTCTCAACTTATCACACAGTTTTGAGTGGAGAGTTAATCTCACTTTTGGCAATCAGCCACAATCAACGGTGTCGAGTAACATATACAGCTAAAAAATACAGCTATATGGCTACACTTGAAAAGAAAATGGTCCAAGGTAATATTCAAAGCTTTTAACTCAAGAAGTTAAAAGAGTGGCAATTCCAAAATTATTAGAACAAAATGAAATGAAAAAAAATAACAGCAAGAGTAAATAAAATGGAGATACAATCAAGCAATGCCAAAAATTAGTTTCTTGTAAAAATGAAGAAAATTGATAAAAAATTAGAAAGACTGGTTAATAACAATGTGTGTGTGTGTGTGTGTGTGTGTGAGAGAGAGAGACAGAGAGAGAGACAGACAGAGAGAGAGAGAGAGAGAGAGAGAGAGAGAGAGAGAGAGAGAGACTAATAAGACTAATTCCCAATATCAGGAACAAAAGAGAGGAAATTACCAAAGATTCTACAGATATCAAAGGTGGTATTGTGGATAAAGTAATGCTAAGAATTAGACGATTTAGATAAAATAGGCAATCTCCTAGAAAATCACAATTATGAAAAGTGCACAAAAAATAGAAAATGCTAATATATCTACATCTGGAAACTTTATACACAGTTGTTAGGAACATAAATTTGTATAGCTTTTTAGACTGTCAATCTCTTATGAAGTTAAACCATCATTCACCCCATGACTCATCAATTTCACTTGTATTTATACAAGAGAAATGAAAACATATATCCAAAAGACTTATTCAAGAATATTCATAGTAGTCATTATAGCCAAATACTGGAGAAACATTTTTCTGCAACAAGTGAATGAAGATAAAATTGCTGACATTTTCTACTATAAAATATAGTATATACCCATAGCATATATATGGTTTGGTGCTATTTGGGCTTTCAAACATCTCCTGGGGGTCCTGGAATGTATCTCCTGAAGATAAGGCATGATTACTTATAACTATACTTATAAGTAGCATTACTTATTTGCATAGTAAGAAAAATCATGCTTTATCTGCAAGAGGTATATACCAAGACACGCAGAAGATGCTTGAAACCCCAAATAGCACCAAATCCTATATATACTGCTATGTTTTTTTCTTATGCATGTATACCTGTGATAAGGTTGAAATTATAAACTTAGGCACAGTAAGAGATTAACAACAATAACTAATAATAAAATAGAACACTTACAGCAATATGCCAGCATCACTACTCTTGTGCCTTGGGGCCGTTATTAAGTAAAATAAGGGTTACTTGAACAAAAGCACTATGATACCATCACAGTCCATCTGATAACCAATGATGGCCACTGAATGATTAATTGGCAAGTAGACTATGCAGCATGGACATTCCGGACCAAAGGATAATTCACATCCCAAGCAGGATGGAGTAAGATGGCACAAAATTCATCATGCTACTCAGAATGCTGTGCAACTTAGAAGTTATGAATTGTTTATTGCTGGAAAGTTTTATTTAATATTTTTAGGCTTGGTTGATTGTATGTAACTAAACCATAGAAATTGAAACCATGAGGCTGGGCGTGGTGGTTCATGCCTGTTAATTCCAGGACTTTGGAAGGCCGAGGTGGGCGGATCACCTGAGGTCGGGAGTTAGAGGCCAGCCTGACCAACATGGAGAAACCACATCTCTACTAAAAAATACAAAATTATCCGGGCGTGGTGGTGCATGTCTGTAATCCCAGCTACTCGGGATGCTGAGGCAGGAGAATCTCTTGAACCTGGGAGGCGGAGGTTGCAGTGAGTCGAGATCGCGCCATTGCACTCCAGCCTAAGCAACAAAAGTGAAACTCCGTTTCAAAAAAAAAAAAAGAAAAAGAAAAGAAAAGAAAAGAAAAAAGAAATTGAAACCATGGATAAGGAGGACCTAATACACAATGTCATAATACTCAGTAAGAAAAAACATGACCCGCTGATAATGTAACAAAATGAATGAATTCAAAAACTATTATGTGGAGTAAAAGAAGCATGACATATAGTCTATATGAACGCCAAAAAGGAATCAGAAAGCATTTGTCAATGTCGGAGGAGGGTAGAGTTTGAGGTGGGGATTGAATTGAAAGAGGCACTAGGGAGCTTCTTGCAGAGATGAAAATGTTCTGTATCTTGATCAGGATGGTGATTACACAGATACGTACATTTATAAAAACTTGTCAAACTAAATATTTATCGTATATTTATTTTATTTTTTGTAACTGATACTTCCATTAAAATAAAAAAATTAATGAATATTTCTACTTTTTTCCTAAAGAGTTCCAAAGCATTTAACAAAAGTTCCATTTAGTCTCACAGTCTCACTACTCTTCAATTCACTCTTTTAAACTCATCGAAAGTTATTCAGAAGGCCTTTTGAAGCATCTTTTAAAAAAATCAATTCAATATTTCTAACTTCAATAAATGTGCTTTTTAAATATCTTTATTGAATTTTAGGGATGCATCAGGATTTTCTCTGTTCTTGGGTCTTAGTGATCTGACAATTTTTACATGAACCACTTCCTACACAAACACTTTAAAATGTCATTTCAAAAATCTCAGAGCAGTATGAAAAAGAAGCTAATGATAACCAATCCGGTAACAGCAGTTATAACAAAAGATGCTCATAGAAAATTTTCCCACTGAATCTGTTCTTCTCAACATGGTTGAAACCTTTTGATATTAAAGCAAATGATTGATTCAGTCAATAATAATAATTTTAACATTAAATGGCTTTTTACTAAAAGTCAGGTACTTCGCTAAACATTTTTGTATTTGTCCTTTCATGTAATTCTTCTAGTAAATCTATACATACTATTTTTCCTTCCATTCAACAGAAAACTGTCTTAGAGAAATTAAATAAGTTGTTAAAAATTACATAGCTAATCAGTTTCAGAGCAAGCACTAGAACTAAAGAGGGTCAACCTTCAATTCCTTGTGTTTAACTCCTGTGCTGTAATATTGCCCCAATTCAATTTAAATTCTTAATTCAGTAGAATAAAAAAAAAGAGAGTAGCTCAGTTATCTAGAGGCAGAGTAGTGTAGTCTTAAGAGTGTGGTCTCTGGAGCCAGATTGCCTGGGCACAAATTTCTGCTATATGACCTTGAGCAAGTTACCTAATCTCCTTCTGCCTCAATCTTCTAATCTACAAAACAGATGGTCAGGATAACTAAATGAATTAATACATGCAAAGCAATAAGAACTGTTCCTGACACACTGTAAGTCTATATAAATATTAGTTACTTTTTAAAAATCTGAATAGACTGAAGGAAAATTTGATTGAAAGAATTATCATTTGAATAGCTTCATTTATAAAAACTTCTCTCTGAATCTCATTGTTGTGTTCTTTGTGTGTGATGAGCTACAAGATTCTATATTCAACCTTAGTTCCTCTGTGAACCTTTGCTTAAGACTCAAAAAATTTCAGTGACATATCATCAGGTTGCTCTACTGCCTGTCCAATTCTATATTCCTTCTCTACCAAAACCCTCTTCTTTCTTTTATTCATAGCCATACTAGTGTACATATTTAATGACTGCAATTTGTTTATCCCATCTCTGCAATATACTATTCATTACTCACATAACCTTATACAAATTCCTCCTACTGCCTGGTGTCACAATTTCATTATCTGCAAAATGGGACCGTGTTTCTGATTCAACTCACAAGGTTATTGTGCACATTCCCTAAATTAATGAAGTAAAAGTGCTTCAAAAAGCAGAATGCCTCATGCAGTTCTCAAATTTCACAAGGGTATTTTGTAGTCAGTAAAAGCTATATGTTTGATTCCATCTCTGCAGGCTTTGTAGCCTTTTCTGGAAATGTGTCTGTGGGTGTGTCCCATCTCACTCTCTTTTATTCTTTCCCTCAAATGAATTAATGTACTAGAGAAACTTCAGAGACTTATTTTTCTTCTTTTAGAAGTATCTGTTTTGTAAAGAAACTACATTATAAAAGTATGCTATGCCAAAATAATGAGAGATAGTATATTGCGATTTCACATCTTCTGGCAATATAAGAAACTAAAGAAATGAAACATGCAAAGCATATTTCTTGGATGTCTAATTAGTAATTCATCTATTTTTGAGAGCTCATAAAACTAAGAATTGTATTTTGTTTTGTTTTCATGCATCACATCTTTCTCTCTCGTAATGGTGGTGGGTTTGCATGAAGACATTTATCACATTCTTTAGCTTAATGTCTCACAATCAGTGTGAATTCTATCAGGGATTGTGATGGAAGACACAACTATGGGCCAGAAAAGTGTACTCTAATTACTTCCATTGAAATATTACAGTCTCAAAAAATGTAAAAAAGATTGAGGACATCAAGTAGGTCAATGCTGACATGTCACCTTCTCAGGCAGTCATAATGCACTGTAGTGTATTTGAAGATTATTCATTCAATCATGGAATTTTTATTGACTTCCATATGTGAGGGAATTTTCTAGATTCTGGTGACATAGAAGTAAACAAAGCAGAGAGAAATTTCTGCTTTTGGTAAGTTCATAGTCTAACATGCACAGGAAACTTCCATTACACAAAAGAAACCTTATTTGACTTGGGTTAACTCAGTCTATCTCAAACCCTCATAAACTCTCCTCTTAGAAGAAAAATTAAAATATTAGTATCTCAGTGTTATTTGAAAGAGAATTTTAAAAATAGATGGTAGAAAAAACAGCTTTTTTGAATCTATGTCTTTTATCTGTTTAACATTTTCCTGAGCTAACAGCATTGTAAATGAGTATCATACCTGGCATATACTCAACCTGCATAGATTGCCTAATAGACATTCTACCTGGGCATTACACATTATGTTTGTGAATTTTGAGTCATCACATGACTTCCCAAAGGATCTCAAGTTGTTACATTTAAGATTAATGAGGCATTGGATATCCATTAAGAAGGTATTTAAGAATATGCATTTAATTAAAATGAATTATGTATATGAGGTAATGCCATTCAACCTTTTTAATTTAGAGAGATAAATCATGGCTATTTTACTCCTGAGAGGGGTCCTAACTTTGGCAAATTGAATATTGATGTTACAAGACCCAAATAATTAATTCTGGTCAGATTCATTCATAATAGGTATATCCTGAGACTTTGCCCACCAGAGAAAATTAATTCTTTCTTTTTCAGTTGACTATGTGTATGCACTTGCACATGTCATGAGCTAAAAAGAGTAGTGCAATGACATTTATACATAATCCCTGAATACAAAGCAACTGGTAACATCGGTTCTCAAGAAAATACTGACCAGCCACAGCCTTAACTTATTCGTCAGCATTAGTGACTCAGTATGAATGTTTTTTTTTAAACTCACACAGTATTCATATGCAACACACTTACCATTTATTGACTTAGTAAGGCTTCCAGCAGCATTTTTTTCTGCTCGAGGGAAATGATGCTGGTACTTTTAATTCTACCAGGTTGGCATTCAGAACTGTGTCATGCATCGAATGGGCACGGAAATACCCTGAAAGACAGAAATTACCTTGCTTTTTTTCTATGCCTTATGGTACCTCGTACCAGTAGGCATTCTATCTATTTATGATGAGTTTAGTTGAGCCAACACTTAGTGATTAAAATGTTCTAATACTTTACTTGGATTAAGTTATAAAATCCTTACAATAATCATATCAGTTAGCTATTACTATTATCCTATTTATATAGATAAGGAAACAGAGACTTAAGAGGTTAAAAAATGTTCTCAAGATCACAGAAATAGTATATGATAAAGCCTGGATTCAAACTGACAATCTGACTACCAAAGCTGCCTAAGGTTTTGCTGTTCTGGTGTGTTAATTGTATAATATCTCACAGTATTATGAGGTCGAAGGACCTCACACTCCATCTCTTTCGTTTGCTTCCTATCCATGCTCAAAGAACTTGGTAATTTCATAATCATCAATATCAGATTTATTCTGAATCACAATTTTCGGTTCTTTATGTTTTCTAATGAAATCTAATTACTTATAAGTACATATTCTTTGTCTAATAGTAATTAAATACGCCTAGACCTCTTGAATTAAGTTATTAAATCCTTACATTAAATCCTAAGCCTCTTGAAATATGTGTATGTATATACACATGGCATGCACAGTAATAACTCAAATATGAAGAAAGAGGTGAAACTTCATACAGCCTAATAGGTCTTCATAGAATTAGACCTTTTCTAACAAAAAAAAGAAGAAAAATAATATTTAATTAGAAGTTTCTTTTTAGAAATGAAAAGAACCTATTAGTTACCCAGGAGGAAGTAGTGAAATGTCAAGACTAATGTGATTACAGTTTCCCAAAAACATTTCATTTGTTTTTCAATCACAGCCATCACAACTGCAGCCATCTGACTACAAGCATAACAATAACCTTAAAAGGCTTATATCACATAGTTTGTGCTGTACTTGCACCAAGAGCTTCACAGCAGTTTAATCAATAAAACAGCACAAGCTGTGCACAATTATAATAAAACACCTTAAGAATGATCCACAATTAAAAGGTAGGGCGAAAAGAAGTCCTCAATTTAGATAAACCAATCTGCCACTCAGTTTGATAAAGTTCAGTTGAAGTGTTCTGACACTCTCATGGCACCTATCAGCAGAAAGCTCTCTAGCCTTGAATGTAAATTAACTCTTCAAGTTGTCCAAGAGTAAAGAATTATAGGCATCTACTTACACACACTGGAGTATTACTTGTATAATAACAAGAAAAACTTCCTATTGAAATTTCACATTGAAGTTTATCCCACAAAGAAATGTCTATATCAATTTTAACAAGTGCTTTGAAGTATATTTCTGAAACGTGACAACTCTTCGTTTGAATAAATGAAAATTGATAAACCAGCTTATAATTCATTTAACAATATATAGTGATCACCTCTAATTTGCTAGACAATAGGGATTAACAGCAAATAAGACTTGCTCACTACTCTCTCAGGGCTTGCATTTTTATGATGTCCTGTTCTATACTAGACTTGAAAAATGTGTTAGTGAGAAGAGAGGATGGTGGAGGGGCATATATACAGGTTAGTTTAGACAAAGAGAACACATGTGCAAAATATGGATACCCAAAACAGCCTTACCTTTGAGAATTGAAAGTAGTTTAGAGACAAAGGAGGCACAAAGAGAGAGTAGTGCTATTTAAGGATACTCACTATAAAGTTTTAAGACAACGAGTAATATGATTTGAATTTACAAGTTACAACTTAGAAATAATTCCCTGGATCCATTGACAAGAATAGATAAAAAGAAGCAAAACTGGAGAATATCACATTGTTTCAAAGTAGAAGCGTTGAAGTCTAACTTTCCACAGTAACCTCTGCTCTTGTGGGTGATCTAGACTTGGTAAAGAAGGTGGAATGAGAGTATGAAGACTATTTACAGGGTAGATCTCAAGATGGCACTTCTTCAATTTTTAGTCTTGACACTTGTTATCAGGTTCGTGAATTAAATAACATTTCCGTGGATATGTTTCTAAACATTGGTTAGTATATTTTTATACCATTCGTAAAGCATCTAGACATGGTCTTTCTCATTTTCATATTCCCTTAGTTGTTAACTGGGATACAGGGGTGGTGGTCATTCTAGGCTTATGAGTAATACCGAGAATGGAAATCTGCTATGGAAGCAGATGCACTAGAAGATAGTGATATTATGTGAAAATTTCATGGAGACTTGATGGGTAGAGAACATGTTATCTGTACATATGCAGCTGTGTCAGCATCAGTGAAAACCTAGTTGAGATCATTCATCTGGCTATAAGTCCTCAGAGTTAGTAGAAGATTTGTAATTTAGAGATGGGATGGTTGAAAGAGCAGCTTTCTACACTGTTACGCTACCTGAGGTCCAAGATCTGTGAAATAAGGCCAATGGAGTATGAGAAAACAGAGTACATGAATGACTTGCAAAGAAGTAGAATTAAACATTTGGAAATAATACAAAGGCTTAAATTTATTAGTTTACTGTTAATCTCCAAAAAAATGAAATATCACTCTTGCTGTGGGAAATGTAAGACTGGAAATAAAGAACATCATGAGACATTCAGTGGCATTTTCAACAGGCCTATCCTAACCCTGGCAGAAGATTCCTAGTTTGTAGTGCACTGGGAATGTGTCAGGTTGTTGTGCTGCTGTAACAGAATACCACTGGATAAGTAATTTGTAATGAACGGGAATTTATTTCTTACAGTTCTGGATGCTAGAAGGTCCTAGACTGAGTGTTCAGCATCTTGTGGGGACCTTCTTGCTACATCATCCCATGGCAGAAGGTGGAAGGGCAAGAGAGAATGACAGAGAAGAAGAGAGAGCTTTCCCTTTTATTAAAAAAAAACAAACAACGACAACAACAAAAACCCTCTCCTGAGATAATGGTATTAATCTATTCATGCAGATGGAGCCCTCTTGTTCTAATCAGCTCTCATTAGGCCCTACCTCCGAACACTGTTGCATTAGGGATTGTTTCCAGCACATGATTTTTGGGAGGACACATTTAAATCATAGCAGTTTAGTTATGTTGAGTAAAGCGCAGTTAAGCGCTGCTTTAAATTTTGTTGGCATTTTGAATCAGATGAAATGGTTTCCAGGAAGACCACATAACAAACCAGTGGTAAACAGATGAAATTTCATGGCCGGAAGATAAAGTCTATTCTTCTGTTTTACTTCCTATCACCCCCATCAAAATACTTTAAATATGATTAATCATTCTTGGCAGTCTGATGACCACACAAGTCTTAGATGATCAAAGCTAGAAATAGTTGATCGCAAAGTACTCAAGCCATAGAATTATAGTCTTGAAAAATTTTTAAGGTGTAGGCTTTGTAGTTCTGGCTGCCAAAATATAGCTGATGGAAAAATCAAAACTACCAATTCAAGGCCCTCACTTATGTTGGCCTCAGGCACTTTAAACTGTGATGGTCCCATAGTTGTATAGTAGGGCTAGGTATGTTTTATATCTCTTCATCAAAAATATTCTGGATCATCACCATTTCTGTTTTATTAACTAGATAACTTCAGGTGAAATAATTTTCTTAGAAAAATAATTTTTGATAGCACAAACTCTAAATATCTGGACCTCCATTATAGGATGATTCTCATCTTAGAATTGGAGGCACAAATTTAAATGCAGCAAGAATGGGTCATATAGGAACAGATTAATAAAATGTTAAGATGCTTGAACATACATGGAGAAAGTAGAGAACTGGATAAAGAAAAATTACTTTCTAGGATGTATATAAAGGACAATACATGAATTATATGGGCTATCTGGAAAATTTAGGAAATAACTATACAAATTCAACTATTTTGAGTGTCTCCACTCCTGTACCACATCCAATCAAAATGGTATAGCTTTAAATTTGTCCACGACATGCAAGCTATTAAACACATATCTCCTCAGGATCACTTATACGTGTTTTGCAGGACATGCTAGACAGACTAGAATAATGATTATATGAGGTCAAAGGAATAATAATAATAGTATCTCTGTCAGAGAGTTAAATGAGGCAATGCATTTTACAAGGTCTTAGAATAGTGTCCAGGTATGGATAATAAAGACTCGAAATATTTTTATTGTTTGCTATCATATTCATTACATTGTTTTAGATTTTAGCTATGATTGGGAATGACTTAGAGTTGCAATGGCCTACTTGGCTTTAAAAAATTCTTCTTGGTTAACGCTTGGAGAATAATGTTTTAACTACTTTCACTCAATGTTTATATTGAGAGATAATTCATCTGTCTCTCATGTTTCCGCAGATCTTTTCAGCAGAAGATTTGACAGCTTTTGTTTCAGAATTCTTTTATAAGGATTTTCTATAGCAGACAGCCTCAAAAGAGGATAGGAATAGTGTCTCCTGGTTCAGAGAGATTTTTTTTGCTGTGAAGAAAATTAACATATTTAACCCCAAAATTTGGCTCTGTGGTATAATGAATATTTTATATTAAAAACCCTTAGAAATCAACAAGCACTAGAAGGGACCTGTCCCCTACCTACCTAAAGATAGGACTGACACACCAAGGAGAACAATAGTTCTTACTCTGCCCCCACACTGCCCACACCCGCCATTATCTCATTATCCATTACAGGAAAGAAAACCAAGAATGTAACCATATCTGAAGATACCCTTTTTCAAGACAATGTCTGTCTCCAAGGATGATTTAAGGAACATTTAAATTAAAAAAAAAACAAAACTATTTACATGTTAATTTCTGTTCCCCAATATAATCATTCTACCTAGTAATCCTTTATTGCCTCTCAATAGAATTCTTCTCCCCCTCCCATAACCTGCCTGACCAGGATTCAAGTCCTCATTCTTTCCGTACCCTCAAGATGGCATATGAGCTTCTGTGCCTCATTGAGATGTTGGGTCTTCATTCTGAAGGCTCCCGTGTATACACATTAAATAAATTGGTATGCCTTTTCTCCTATTAATGAATCTGCCTCATGTCAGTGATTTTCAACAAATCTTTCAAAGCCCTTGGCCCCCACAGCTCTCTAATATAAAAAAGGTCATATCTACAGGGAAAATAATGAACAGGTTTGCTTGCAGCTCCTTCCAAAGATTGGGGCTTACTTAGCTCAGAGTTCCCTGGCTATCATGCAAATCCGCTGCATGCACCACTTCTATCTGGCCATTTCACATTGCTCCCATGGGATTTAGGGGACAGGGGAAAATGATGCCAACATGCAGTTTATGCTGCCTACTGAGCTATGAGTAACAGGTTTTGTTTTGTTTTGTTTTGTTTTTTGTTGTTGTTTTGTTTTGTTTTAATCTCTGACCCAGGAGTCTAATGTCTTTTGCCAGAAACCACAAAACTGTGATGGGCTTTTTAACTTACAAGCAGGAAAAAACTCTTAAATCTTTCAAAGTTCTTGACAAAGTAGTTATTTTTTAATGGCATAACAGAAAAGACATCTCAGTTAATTTGTGAGAAAATTTTCAAAATATCTCCAGTTTCAGGGATATGCATAGTTTTAATTCAATTTGTTGTATAAGGACCACATCACTACTATGGCATAATTAACTAATTTGTGGCAAAAGAAGAGGAGAAGGAGAGTACAGTTAGATTAAGATATTTTCAAATTCCAGGGGGCCTGCTTATACGGTCTGGATATGAGATCTTCAAAAGAGACGCCAATGTAAGAAAATGTTCTCCACATGAATTTATTATCTCTACCACCCACATGACTGCCCAAGTTTTTATGCTGTACTGCTATCTACCAGATTTTATCTAGAGTATATTCATAGACTGAACCTTTTTCTTTTCACTGCTTAAATTTAATGTTTTCAATTGCCTGTTTCCGTATATCCTCATAGTCTTTTCCAAACTACATTTTCACTTCTTAGATGATGTTTTAGAGTTTCAACCATTCAAGTGGCCAACAAAAACTGACTAAATCCATATACAGTAGCAATCATGTGGTGCTACTATAACTTTAAATAAAAATGATCAAGTGAATAATGAGAAAATTTTATCTGTTCATTAACTTATTTTCTTTCTTTTTGAGATGAAGTCGTGCTCTGTCCCCCATGCTGGAGTATAGTGACACAATCTCGGCTCACTGCAACCTCCACCTCCCCAGTTCAAGCGATTCTCCAACCTCAGCCTCCCGAACAGCTGCAGACTACAGGCACACACCACCATGCCTAGCTAATTTTTGTATTTTTAGTAAAGACAGGGTTTCACTGTGTGGCCAGGCTGGTCTCAAACTCCTGACCTCAGGTGATCCACCCACCTCGGCCTCCCAAAGTGTTGGGATTACAGGAGTCAGCCACCGTGCCTGGCCAGCTCATTAACTTCTAATGATATTTTAAATTTAGAACTACCCTACAATTAATTAGATAGAATTATTGAAATAATATGATCTATGAACTTAAACTACACTTACCGAGTAGTCCTCCCATCTGCAGTTTTGCAATGCAAGAATGGAATAATACCCTAAGGATTATATTGCAACATTTTATTTGCCACATTGAATGCTAATAGTAAACATCTTATTTTTTGGTATATCATTCTAACTAGAGATGAATTATTTATACATATTTTATTGTGAATATAATGTACACATATATATTAATAAATAATTTTTGAAACTTTATTTTCAATTTATATACAATAAATTTACTCTTTGTAATATAAAGTTATGTGAGTTTTGAAAAATACAGTCATTCATTTATCACCACAGTTAAGATAGAGAATATTTCATTTGTCTATTCATTCACCAACTGAAGAACATTTCCAGTTTTCAGTGACTATTGTCAGATACAGTAAGTTCTGCTTCAAAGTTTTAATTTCTGACTTCCTTGTTCTTTGTTCTCGAGATCAACTTCCTTGTCCCTTCTCCTAAGCTACCTGCTCTGTAAACAACTTCTCCTGCCAGTCCCAATCTGTAACTCATGTCTCTTCCTTATTTGGAAAGGTTCCTCTTTACTCCTGGCTACCCATTCTGTAAACTGCCCCTACCGCCGAAAGAGCTCTTCCCCTGAAACCACCCTTCCCACCTTTGCCATGCCCTGACATGCCCAAACATGCCTTGTACCATAATGGACAGCCTCTCCCTTCTTGCCTAATTAGCCATATTCAATTTTAAACAGTAGCCAATAGGGTCAGTTTAGATTGTGCGGTCCAACTCCAGCCAATGGGGACAGACACAGAAGCAGGGACTAACAGCATTGGGAATAAAAAGCCCTCCTTTGTTCGATGTGCTCTCGCAGTGGCCAAAAGTGTGAGCAAAACCCTTCCACAGAAGTAAATTTGCCTTGCTGAGAAATCCTTCATTTGAGTGCTCGTTTTCCTCGCGACTCTGAGCTCTTGTTTCTAACATTATGAATAGGTATGCTATAAATATTAATGTATACGTTATAATGTGAACATAAATTTTTATTCTCTTGGGCAAATATATAGGAGTGAGATAGCTGGGTCATAAGACAAGTACATTTAACTTACAAAAAACTTCCAAATTCTTGTATCATTTTGTATTCCCACAGGTAAAGTATGAGAGTTCCAATACTCCACATTGCAATGAGCATTCCATATTGTAAGTTAATTTTTTTGTTTTTGTTTTTGATGTTCTAATATTTGTGTAATGGTATATCATTCTGAGTTTAATTTTTATTTTCATAAGAACTAATAGTTTTGTGCACTTTTACATATGCTTTCTTGCCAACTCTATGCTTTCTTGATGGAATGCCTACTCAAATTTATGGCCCATTTCTCAGGGGATGGAGGTTGTTTGATTTCTCATTGTTGACTTTCAAAATTTCCTATATATTCTGATATATATCCTTTAGCAGGTATATGATTTGAAAATATTTTCTCCTAATACATGGCTTATGTTTTTTTTTCTTTCACAGTATATTTTATGGAGCAAAATTGTTTATTTTGATAGGTTTATCAGATTTTTTCTTTTTTTATTGATTGTGCTTTTGATGTCTTATCCAAGAATTCTTTCTGCCTAACACAATATAACAAAGGCTGTCTCCTATGTCTTTTTCTAGAAGTTTTATAATTTTAACATTTAGAGCTATGTTAATTTTTATATAAGTTGAAAAGTATGGGTTAAATTTCATTTTTATTGCACATGGACATGCAATTTTTCTGCACAATTTGTTTAAAAAATTACTCTTCTCTCTCCATAATTACCCTTTTTACCATTATTCTAAAAGTTTACTATATTAATTTGAGTCTATTTCTGAAAGCTCTATTCCATTTCATTAACCTATGAATCTATCATTTCATCAATAGCACAATGTCTTGATTGCTATTGCATTTTTAATTTTTAAATCAGGTAGTTTCAATAATTTAACTTTATTCTTATTTGTTAAATGTTTTTGGCTGTTCTATTTCCTTTGCCTCCCTGTATAAATTTTAAAATCAGTCTTTCAGTATTTACAATAAAATCATGCTGAGATTTTGATTAGAATTTCATTGACATCATAACAATATTGAGTCTCCAGTTCATGAACACATTAAATCTATTTATTTAGGTATTCATTCTTTGTACTCTTTAATCAATGCTTTGTAGTTTTTAGAACACAGATTTTGCACATGTTTTGTTAAATTTATATCTAAATATTTTCTTATTAGTGGTATTATAAATGGTAGTTTTTTTAATTCCAAAGTTATTGATAGTATATAGAAATAAAATATCGATCTTGTGTAATATCTTAGTTTGTTTTGTGCTGTTATGAAAGAATACCACAGACTCAGTAATTTGTAATTAATAGAAATTTATTGGCACATAGTTCTGATGGCCTAGAAGCCCAAGATTGAGGGGTCACTGTCCAGAAAAAGCCTTCTTGCTGTGTCATCTTATCATGGAAGGGCAAAGAGAGAGTGAGAGAGAACAAAAAGCAACACAGCTTCTTTTTTTATAAGGAACTCACTCTTGTAATAATAACCCCCCCTTTTGCAATAATGTCATTAATTTGCTCATGATGACAGAGCCCTCATATCCCATTTATCTCTTAACAGTTCTACCTCTTAATAATGTTACAATGACAAATCAATTTTAACATGAGTTTGGGTGGAGACAAACATCCAAACTGTAGCATATAAAATGACATGGCTAAACTGACTAATTAATTATAGGTTTTTTGTAGATTTGGGGAGGGAGATTCATTTTATTGGTAGACAAACTTTAGCTAGGACTAATGAGTTTCATTTCTTTCCTTCTAACTTGGGTAATTTCTGCTGACCCGTCTTCAAGTTTACTGATTTTTTTTTTCTTTGACGTGTCAAGTGTTCTGATAAGCCTGTTAAATACATTCCTTATCTCTGTTACTCTGGTATTCACTTCTAGCATGTACATCTGATTCTTCTATAGTTTCTATCATCCTGATGAAATTATCTATCTTATATTGCATGTTGTTCATATTTTTTTCAATGTAGCCTTCTATATATTAATCATGCATACTTTGAATTTCCTCTCTAATAGCTTCTGATAGTTTGAGTATCAGTGTCATATTTCTTTGTCTTTTAATAGTGTTTTTTTCTGTCTTTTCTGTATGACTCATAATTTTTTATTTAAAGCCAGACAATTTGTACAGGACAATAGATACTGACGTAAGTAGCTTTTATGGCTAGAAATGGGTATGCCTTGTCCTATTTTAGAAATTTAGTGCATGAATTTGGGTCAATCTAGTCACTAATTGATCAGTGTTGAGATTTGTCATTGCTATTTTTATTCTCAGTGCACTGTAACTTCAAAGTCCTCTAGTGTCATCATGTCTTTAGAGTAGGGGTTGGTTCACAGAGAGGTTTCCTCCAGTATCTATTTTACCTTCATCCTAAATCATCCTTTTACATTGCACCTAATAAAGGATCTCTCTGTGCTCTTTTATCTCTTTTAGCAGTATTGCATTGCTACTTGTTATTCAACACTGGTGTTATGAGAGGTGGGGTCGAGGGTATGATGGTTCTCTCTTGTACTGATTTAGCCTAAGTTATAGAAAAGCGCTATGCCTCTGAGTCTGGATGGTGTGGCCTCAGAGGTACTGATCCTATCCCAGTGCCAGTTCTGGACCCAATAGGTATTCTTACCCTTCCAACACAGAAAAAGGTTTTCATTTCTGTTTTTTCTTCCCCCAATCACAAAGTTTTCAGCAATGCCTTAAGGGCATTGGTTGCTGTCTCTGCTTCTTTCCCTAGTTTAAGGCTTTTGTTTTGTAGAGGAGGTGCAGTTTTGTGCTTTTGCCCTGGGTGAGGTTTTGTGCCTTTCTCCACAGTGGCTGTTCTCCTCCTTTAGCCCAGTGTTTTGCCAGAATTTTTTGTAAATATTTTTGTGAGCATCCAGTGAGGTCATTATTAATAATTATCTAATTTCATTATAAGTCACATATAAAACAGAATGGTTTTAACAGGTATTACTCAGGGAGACAAATCTTAAACTCAGCAGAGCTCCTATTCCTGAAAAATATGTTATCCATTGAATCACAGATGTTAGAAGATAAAATTAAACCAGATTATTATGAAATGTTATAACTAGGCCATATGATGTAGGATCCTCCCCACCTCCATTTCCCCCTACACTTTCTGTTATGTGAAATGCCTATGGCTTTTCCTACAAAGTACACTGTCAGATGTACTGCATTATGGTTCAGAATGTACCTTAAAACATTACACAAAGTCCTCTTCATTATGGCTCTCAGGATAAGATTCTCTCTAACCATAGGATCCTGAGCAACAAGTTCATTTTTACTTTAAGGGCATTCTCACTCCAAAAACTAAACATGGCTACACTGTTGTTTGAAAATCTAGAACCAATGTTAGTAAATGTAGAATATTTTATGCTTTTAAAGTATTGAAGCCCTTACTAACCTAACTTCTAGCTTTATCTAAATCTTCTTATGTAAATATTGTGTATCATTTTACTGTTACTTTATCTTGTTTTATTGGACATTATATGAGCCACCTGAAATCCTTTCTAGAACAAAAGTATTAAAAATAGATTTACAGTTGGTATGAACATGAGTATATCCTGTGGCCTGTACCAGCTCAAAAGATACAGTGGTGCTCTTTACAAACTTTGTGCTCAGCGATCTCACACTGGAAACTTGAAATTGGCTATGGTGGAACTATTTACATGATAGAAATCAACAAATATAAAAATTAGCCTTTTATTATTTTTTTCTGGAAAAACAGTTACCAGCATAGCCCTAAGAATATCCATATTTACATTTTAAAATAGAAAAACAATTTTTGGAGCTAAACAGTTTCTAATACAATTTTAATGTTTACTTCATAATCATTGAAGTAGGACAAGTCCTATACTGGAAAACATAAAAATAATATGACTCTCAGTAGAGCTATGGTAATAGTGTTGAAGCATTAATAAAAGGTCATCATTTACACAATTTTCTCTAAAATCCTTCATAAATCCACTAGATACTAATATTCTATTTGGTATACAATTATAAATTATCATTGTCCTCTGATAACAAAACTGGAAGATTATTGTTTCTTGGAATAATTTTATCATAATGCTTCAGTTATAGCCTATTTTGCGTCATATTAACCAGATATCTTTAATAAATTTTTTATGTTGAATATCAGTTATTATGCTATTGTTGATTTAGGACTAAAAATATTGGCTTTACTAAAAGTCTTAATTTTATTGTTGTAGTGGATCACCTACAGATTGCCTCAATATTAATCTATTTTTGTAGGCTCAAAAAACTGAACCCCAAGAACTCAAATTTAATAAAAATTCTGTCTTTTTAATTGTATTTATTATATTTCTCACCTCCTCAACCACCCACCATCTCATCCTCATGATGGGGAGTTATCAAAAGTAATTTCAGAACATGATCTTATCAAATATAATTCTGTAGTGGTTATATTTTTGTTACTGCAACATGGTAGAATAGCCTCGTATGGTTTCCCTTCTACTGACAATACACTTATTAAGAAAACAGCCATTAGATATTCAGCTAAGCTTAAAAGATATGAATGAAAATTTAGTTTTCTAGATTTAAAAAGACAGCTCAAAATAGCTTCTAGAAGCTCAGGGAAAATAATCGTCAACCTGTAATTCTATATTATGAAATGAACATAGCTAAATAAAGATATGTTAGGACAAAAATTAAAACAAAACAAACAAACAACAAGACTTTATGACTTCTAGTCTTGCACCAAAAATGCCCTTGTAGGATATTCTGCAGTAAGAAGTATATAGAAAGAAGAAGGGGGGTATCCATCAGAATTGAATTCAGCTGCATGTAAGAGAGATCCCCAAACAAGGGTGTAATGTTAAACCATAAAAGTTTATTTTCAGCACATGAGAATAAGTTCAGATGTAGGAAGTTCAGAGATTTTCAGAGATTTGCAACTACAAAATGTCATCCAAATTACAGCATTTTTCTATTATCCTCTTTCTCTCTTTTTTCTTTTTCTAACAACTGACTGTCTTCCTTATGCTTTCCAGTTAGCTCTTGTATCTCCAGATATTGCATCCACATTTTTAGTCAGGAAGAAAGAGGGAAGTTGTGAAGGAGAATCATCAAATACCAATAAGGTTGTCCCTTTTTATCAGGAAAATGCATTTCCTAGAATCCTTAACAAATATCCTCTGTTTGTATCTCATTGGCCAAAATTACATCATGTGGACTACTCTGCTGTGCACCATTCTAAGTACAGAGGATAAGAAGGATATTGGATGGGTCACATATAAACAATGCCTGACAAAGCATGAGAGGCAAATAGCAAAGTTAGACAAAACAATTAATAAGCATGGATAAACCTGAATAAGCACAGACATTTAAAAATAAAATTATTTGGAGGAGAGTTTAAAGTATTACTAAAGATATGTTTAACATAGGAGGCAAGTAAGAATTAAAGTCTTCATTTTTGTGATAATGGTAGGAACATTTGTAAACTTTAACTTATGTGTAATTGAATATTGAGCTGAATTTTCCCTGTGGTCTTAGGATTAGCACTAGAAACCATAACTAGAAATATTAGTAACACGTATGACTTCTATCCACACTGGTGAGAACTAGTCAGATAGGCACATCTGTAGGCAAAGAGAGCAAGGAAAGGCAGTTCCTGACTGGTCAGTCACTTTCCAGCAATAAATCTACCCTATGAAAAACAAGACATGATTTTTTTGGGCAAGAGAGGGCCCAAGTGGATCAAGTGTACAGTGGATGTTGGAAGTGTAAAGAAAGAAAGACTTGCATCTCACTCACTCGTTGGGTACTCTACTGAGGCAAAAGGCATGTCGGATTAGTGGATTTACAGCAACACAAAGCAGAACAGAGGAGTTGTGTGTCTGGAGAGTACATGGGAAAATCTTCACCTCATTTCAGTTCTCATTGGAGTCTCATAAAGAAATTGAATAATGAGTAATGAGATAGTGACATGGGATTGCCCACATAGCTTCAGTGCCATGCCATTGGTAGCATTACCTACTGATGGAGCCAAATGAGTTTATGTAAATCTGAACAGAGCAGTTCTTGGTAAGAGAGTGAGCTCAGAATAATACTGAACACCATTCCAAATAGCCACAGATGACATCTATATCACCAGAACATCAGTGGGAAGCCACCATCAGCAGAAAAAATCTAACTGAACCAGAACAGCAAAGAAATAAAATGCAGCCAGTTGCACTAGCAAAACTGTGTTTTCTGTGTATAGCTACTCAGTGTGATTCGCAATCCAAATGCATAATTACCTGGGAACTTGTCACATATACATGTTTTCAGGCATCCTGGAACCTGCAGGACTTACCGAATGAGAAAGAATAGATTAGAACAACTTTTGCACTTGAAATTCCTTGAGCAACGGACTGAAGTTGTTCAATATAAGAAAGTACAATTTAGATTTAATTTGAAATTGAAGCTTTAAATTGGATTATTACTTTAAAAATAAAAGGAGACAAGAAAGTTATGGAATTCGTTTGACAGACAAGGAACAGAAATTCAGATAGGGTGCCAGATAGGGTGCCAGATACGGTGGAGATTTAAGTGTGTGTGTTAGACAAAGTGTGAAGTGACACATAGTGTTTTCATGGGGAAGAAAGCTTATCCATGTAAATCAAACCTTACTGTTGCAATCATATCCTTGGCCTCAAAATTCTCATAGCTGTTTGTAATAAAGGATGTTTAGGCATCTGTAAAAAAAAAAGCATTATTAGAAATAAAGTGTTTTAGAGATAAAGCATTAAACAGCAAAAAGAAAAAAATGTAGAAAAATATAACAATGCTGAACTTCATGCATCCAACAATATAGCCTCCAAATATATAAGGTAAAAATAAACAGAATTATGAGGATGAATTTAAAAATGCACATTTATAACAATTATTTTTAATATAACACAATCAGAAAGATAGAAATAAGAAAACTAAATCAAATTAGTAATATATAGAAAATTAATCAACTCAGTTAATGAGTTATTATCATCTCTTATATGTCAGCTAATATTAGCCAATATCAACTTATATATACGTCAAACCAAATATTTAAAGATCTTTTTTAAAGTTATATAGAAAATTTATAAATATTAATCATTTGCTGAGATAAAAAAGAAGTTGCAACAAAGATGAAATCATTCATATCACCTAGAACTAGAGTTTTCTTATAAAAATAAGATAAAATTGGAACAACAGAAAAATAACTTCCAAGCTACATGTGTATAAACTTTGGTACAAAAGATCAAATTGATATAAAAGATTAAAAATATGTTCCTGGATACCCCTAAAACCAGAGAGAAATTATAAGGAAATTTATATAAATCTACATGTGCTAAATATTTGTGATACTTTTTTAAGAATGAGCATTACAAAAAAATAAGGAACATAAATTTTGAAAAACTGAATAAAAATAAATATGTACATACATAAGAATGAAATACATGAAAAAACAAAAGCAGACAAGAAAATGTATAAAAGATTATCAACAAAATGTACTAATGAAAAAGAACAAAGTAAATAAAAATGTCTGAAGATATTAAATATTTCAATAAATATAAATAAACTAAGCATATATGTTAAAAGAAATGCATTTTCATTTTTTTAAGCAATATATTTTTTAAAGGAGACACATCTGAAAGTCAAAGGTTTCCTAATATTGAAAATAAATGGATTTAAAAATACATTTAGGTTAAATACTACCCAAAATAAACTAAGTATATAGTTATTAATATCAGGTTAAATATGGCTTTATGAAAATATGCTGGGTACAGTGCCTCATGCCTATAATCCTAACCCTTTGGGATGCTGAGGTTGGCAGATCACTTGAGCCCAGGAGTTCAAGACCAGCCTGAGCAAAATGGCAAAACGTTTCTACAAAAAATACAAGAATTAGCTGGGTGTGATGGCGCACACCTGTACTCCCAGCTATTCATGAGGCTAAGGTGGGAGGATCACCTGAGCTCGGGAAGTTGAGGCTGCAGTGAGCTAAGATTGCACCACTGTAGTCCAGCCTGGGCAATGGTAGTGAGACTCTGTCTCTAAATAAATAAATAAATAAATAAATAAATAAATAAATAAAATAAACAAAAGACTATTGGCATTAGAGAATTAGTTTAAGGAAAATAAGTCTAATTCACGTCATTAAAATTAAAGTTTTCAGTATGTCAAAGGATAAAATCAACACATTGAAAAGACAGGCATAGGAAAAGATATTTTTAAACCTATGATTAACAAATGGACTGTAATTCTAACACTTTAGGAGGCTGAGTTTGAGAGGATTAGTGGAGGCCAGGAGTTCAAGAATGCAGTGAGCTGATCATGCTGCTGCACTCTCACTCAGGCAACAGAGTGAGACCCTGTCTCAAACAGAAACCCTAAAGATAGAGAAAAAGAAGTACTATTTAAATTTTCAGATGACCAAAAATTTCAGAATGATCTATCAAATTAGAATTAATAAGTGACTCTAGCAAGGCAACTGGATACGAGGTGTTTATACAAAACATAATATTTCTATATACTAGCAGTTAGTTTTCAAAAGTTTAGATAGCACTTACAAAATCTCTTAAAACATAAAATATTAAAGAATAAATTTGCCAAAAAATATGTAAGACTTTCACAGAAATCTGCATCACAAACTTTTAAAGACCTAGTAAATGTTCATATATTGGAATACTCCATATTGTTAAGATATGGTTTACAAAATTTAAAATGGAGGATATAGTTTAGATATCTCAAGGCCAACAGCCTATAGCCACATAGCCAAAACTCAAGTTATTGTGATTTTCCCCAAAATGCTAGCTCTAATTATTTTTTAAAAAACACAAAACATAATCTTTCTGTTCTTTGACAGCATAAATCAGCCAAATTAAACAAATCAGTGACAGATCAATAAGTTTCAACAGTTCTACTTGCCTAAAAGGAATGTAAGTTTATGATAGCCAATCCCAATAAAAATCAATGTATGCCCTCATTTATGCTTTACATGCTGCACTGTAACTGCTCTGACCAGGACGTACCACTTTGGTTTGAGGTCTCCCAGTTTGTGAATGTTTCATTTGTATACACAATAAACTACAATTTTTTTTTGATCTGATTTTATTTTTGACAATATTAATCTCCCTTCCAAACTGGTCTATACTCAGAACAGCAATGTAATCTACATGAATAATAAAACATTTTTTATTAAATGAAGCTGTTGATTTTTTTTTGTTATTACTGCCCTAGCCTGCAGTATCCCTGGTAATTGCCAAAAAATAAAAAGTCTGATAAGACTAATTATTGATAAAGATTTGGGAAACAGAAACTCTTACTGGTAAAAAGTAAATTTGTTCAAAGCTTGGATAGCAATTTGGGAAGAGTTAAACAAAGCTGAAGTAATAACTAATCTAAACTATCATTTCATTTTATGGCAAATAGTCTAAGTACACTCTTGCATATATATCCATATATATAATATCCATATATATATATATATTTATGTCCATATCTAAATAAACTCTTGCATATATATGAACATAAATATATATACATATATATGCAAGAGTTTACTTAGAATATTTGTGAGAATAAGTTTACTTAGAATTTTGTGAGAATGGATGTAGAATCTGAAGACAGTCATGGGCCACATAATGACATTTCAGTGAGCGATGGACTGCATATATGACAGTGGTCTCATAAGATTATAATACCATATTTTTACTATGCCTTTTCTATGTTTAGCCATATTTATATACACAAATATTTGCCTTTGAGTTACAGTTGCCTATAGTTTTCAGCACATTAACATGCTATACAGGTTTGTAGCCTGAGAGTAATAGGCTATATCACATAGCCTGGTATGTAGCAGGCTATACCATCTAGATTTGTGTAACTACCCTCCAGGATGTTCTCACTATGGCAAAATCACCTAATAACACATTCATCAGAATGTATCCATGTCATTGACACATGACTGTACTACTGTTCAAATAAAGACTTCCAAAATGAACACAAGCAAAGGCTATTTACTGAGAGATTGCTCCAGCAAGGGAGTCAGCTACCATCGCTTATTTGGCAGAGACTCAAAGGCAGGGAGGGGAGTGGGAAAATGTTATGGTAGAAGAAGGGGAATGTTTGAAGTGTTCTGTGATTGAAAGTTGTTGGAAAGGGAAAGCTGAAAGTGGGCTAACTAGAAGCAAAGCATCTATGTAATTGGTAAGGGCAGCATATATAACTTTTTCTGGTTGGTCCTGAGTTGGAAACAGGAACAAAATTAGAGAAGCGAACAGTTATTTGACCAAGTAATTTACTGTTTTGGGCTGACTGATGCAGAGGTTGTGAGTCAAAGTTCTATTTTTGTTCATACTATGGCTATTGCCCATTTCTATATTCAGTCTATCACTACACTACTGTGAAAACAAGTAAACTAAGTCTTCAAGTATCAAAATAATAATGTATTAAAACATAACATTAGCTGAAAAAGAAGAAAAGCTTTTTAAGGTAGTCTAATATGTTAGGATTTAGGAAAGAATGTTAAACTTTATTATGGATGCAAATGTATGCAAGAACAGTAATAAAAATCTTCAGAGAAAAGATATATAGTAAGTTTGATAGTTGTTTGCTTTGAGAAGGAAGGCAAGTAGAGGAGGAGAGTTTAGAGTATAAGATTTTATTTCTCAAAAATAAATCAGAGGCAAATGTGGCAGCTGAGTTTATAGATGTCCATTTTCTGTTTTTAGAATGTTTAAATATTTATCGTTCAAATTTTAACTATCTTTCTTTTTCTCCTCCTCCTCCTCTTCTTTGAATAAATTTTATTGACCTGTTCCCTGCACATTATAATTAGTTCTTAGCAGACATAAATTAGATTGGAGTCAAGATCTCATTGTCCACCACAACCAGGCAGATAACAAAGCCATGTGGATGGGGCCTATATAAAACAATGAGAAATTGTAACGACTGTGATAAAACTGAACGTGAATAATCCAATTAAAGACTTTCAAACTGAGGATAGTATAAAGCAGTGTGTAAGCAGTGCCTGAGTTGGTCTATGGATTGCTAGGGTTTGAACAGTGTTGTTAAAGATTTTCTTGTGAACTATAATGAACGCAGTGAACAAGGACATATAAAAACCTCAGACAAGCAAGTGCTAATAGGAGCTAGCAAGAATGAGGAAAATCAGAGAAAAATCTTCCAGACCTGCATGAGCTAGATCAGCAGTGCAAGACTGAATCACTCCCTCAATCCACAAGCATTTATGAAGCTTACTGAAAGCCAGGTATTTCGACAAGTGCTACGATTTCAAAGATAACATCAAAGAGGTAACATTAAAAAAAAAGAAGAAAAAAGAGTGCCCTGAATTAAAGAACCTAAAAGAGAGAGCTTGCTTTGAAATGTGTTCAGAAGACAGAAAAGAATTATTTTCCAGGAATAAACATAGTAGGCACTAATTATTTCCAAGTGAGGCTATATACATCAGGGGTCCTTATAAGATCAGGAGATATGCAAAAGGATGGAAAAACACCCCATCCTGATATATGGGAAAGGATAATAAGAATGTCTACAAGAACGAAGAGGTTGAAAAAGTCTATACAGTACTATCAAACAGGTTACTCTCTCAGTCATTCACCCCTAAAGCAAGATGAAAAAAGAAGTGGGTACTTGCATGACACAGATGAAAGAAAGCCAAGCTGCGCATCAGCAACAACACTGTGGGGATATAAAGATGGACCTCTTAATGAACAAATGCGTTAAGTATATTCTCCATATCTGTATGTTGGCATAGAATAGATTCCGCTGACATTCAGTTAATCTGAGTCATGTATTGATATCCTAGATTGCTAGCTCCGAATTCTGCTGTTCTCCAAGAATTTACGTGAGTCAACCAGTTATGAGATATTCTTCATGTATTTTGTTTCTATTGATGAAATGTTGACGGTTCCTGTCTTTCTTTCCTCCCTTCCTTCTTTCCTCCCTCCCTTCTTTTCTTTTTTCTTTTCTTTTCTCTTCTCTTTTCTTTTTCCTTCCTTCCTTCCTTTCTCTCTCTCTCTTTCTTTCATTTCTTTGGAAGGGAAAGTGGAGTTACAATTAGAGTTTTTGGGAATATGTCATGCATGCTAATATCATCTATCAAATGTGATACATTAGAAAAAAAAGAACTGACGAGTTGGCTGAACATCAGTTCTTTCATTCCACATGTGTAGGACAACTGAGATTTAAAGCCCTAAAGTATATTACACTCCAAGTGCTATGCATGTCTGAAATATTGAAAAAAAAATAGTGCAATTCTGACATTTATTCAAGAAAAATTTCAAAACAATAGCAAAAAACAAGCCCATGTGATTTGACTATTATAGTAACATCAGTGATATTTTAGAAAATGCGTCTAAAAATCCATCAATTTTTTTTTTTTTAGTTTTTTCTTTTAGATGGAGTCTTGCTCTTGTTGCCCATGCTGGAGTTCAATGGTGCTATCTCGGCTCACTGTAAACTCTGCCTCCTGGGTTGAAGCGATTCTCCTGCCTCAGCCTCCCCAGTAGCTGGAACTACAGGCTCACACGACACCATGCCCAGCTAATTTGTATTTTTAGTAGAGACGAGGTTTCGCCATGTTGGCCAGGCTGGTCTCAAACTCCTGACCTCAGGTGATCCGTCCACCTCGACCCCCAAAGTGCTGGGATTACAGGCGTGAGCCACCATGCCCGGCCCACATTTTCAAAAAAAAAATTGGTTTAAGTTCTGGGATACATGTGCAGAACGTGCAGGTTTGTTACATAGACACGTGCCATGGTGGTTTGCTGCACCCATCAACCCATCATCTAGGTTTTAAGCCCCTCATGCATTAGATATTTGTCTTAATGCCCTCACTTCCCTTGCCTGCTGACCTCCTGACAGGCCCCAGTGTGTGATGTTCTCCTCCCTGTGTCCATGTGTTCTCATTGTTCAACTCCCACTTATGAGTGAGAATATGCGGTATTTGGTAATATTACAAATTGTTAAATCAGAAGGGAAATTCTTACAACAACACCTTTGTTCAAAATGTTTTTTGAACTCTTTCGGAATTTGTAGTATATTATTTTGAGTACCTCAGACCAATAGTTTCTTTTATGAGAGTAAATTGTTCTTTTAAAACAGACAAACATTATTTAATGCCAACTTAGGTAAATGAAAGAGGACACTGACAATCTAGTTACTCAAAATTTGCCTCAAAAAGCAACTTTAAAGGGTTCCATAGAAGTTGTGATCAATTAAAACAATTCTGAAAAACATGTATTTAATACCATTTTGGCTACTCCAAAAGATCTCTTTAAATGTATTTTCCAGTATATCCATTTTTTAAAAATTAGAGAAAATACAGGGCTTGGGACTTCATTATCACTTATCAATGAGATTCCATAGACAGCTGCAGACAAAATTTTATAGTTTCTCTTTTGATATTAACTACCTAAAAAAATGTCAAAGCTTGCTTTATACATTATACATAAAGTTATATGGAAATATGCTGCCCAGTGATTTCATTGGTGAAATAAATTCTGAAATATTATATATTTTCATTTTCAGATACTCTTCTTGGCATTAAACATTATAACATTTTTCTGTAACATCAAAGGCTTAATTTCTGAATTACTTGATATATTAAAAATAATGTATTCCTTCCTTCATTTAATCCAACTTCCTGGAAAGAACAAATTGGAATGTCTTAATATATTAACTCTCTATTAAAATGCATGCAGATTTCTCAGATGTGGAGAACCAATTTGACAGTCTTATGAACTTTATATCTACTAAAATGCCTCCTAGTTGACATAATAGCTTTAGGAGCATTGAATACTAGGATTGAAAGGAATCTGTCAATACATATTTCTCCATATGAGTTATTTCTATATGGAAAGCTGTTTGGATCAAAGAGGATACTGCCTATTTAAATAAATTTATCATTACATCATTTTAATGATAGATAACAATCCTTGAAAATAGTTTAACAGGAATTATAACTTTATCTTTGTTCTACAACCAGCATTATTAATAAAATAACCATGCTTTCTTTATTTTCACCTTTCAGGTAAATATTTCATACTAGTTCTATAGCCATATTCTCAATTAAAATTTACTCTGCACCTCAACATCCTCTTTTCTGAGTCTGTTGAGACTATAAATACAAGAAGGTTGAGGTTATAATCTTTCTCAATTCGCAGTTAAACTCCTGGAAGTGAGGAAATAAATCCATGGACCTCTACTTACACTGCACTGGAAGGTTTTCCCCCAAGAACACGCCAAAATAATGTGGAAAGGCTAAAGCTGACGTTAAATGCCCCACGCCTAGGCAATCTTTTGCCTATCAACCTGACTCTGAGGTCAGAAAGAATTAAAAAAGGATTAAAGAAAAAATACTGGAAAAGCAATGAGGCACCTGAAATAATGTTCCCTTTTAATTATGTTTATTACCTTTTTCACTTTTTTCAATAATTTTGGATATAATTGATTACAAAGAAGACTAAGTTAAGCCAAATGTCAGAACCAGTTACGAGTGGCCAACTTGTACACTGGTTGGCCAGAGAAAATTCCAATTCTATTGATGCCCACACAAATTAATTTAGCTTTAAGATCTCTTGATGACCTCAATATTTTTAAAGCATTCTTCTTAGCAGCATTCAAGTTTCTATCCAATATTTATTTTTTAAAAAATCACCAAGATCTGAAATAAGTGCTTTGAAAAAATCTCTTTGCATGGCACATAGCAGACGCAAACAATTTTATTGAATAAATTAATTTATAAATTTTAAAATGTTCTAAAATTATTTAGCTATATCTCTTAGTGGTAAAATATATTTCTCACCAAATATATATACTTAACATTTCAATTCCATTCAGTAAATGATTAAAAATTACTTCCCCTGGGCCACAATCTGCTGATAAGAAGGTGAATAAGATTCATAACATCAAGGAGTTCCCAAATTATTATGTGAAAAGAAACACCTCCAAGTACTACTTATAACCTCCTTCTTTATGATCTTTTGGGTGTAATTAAGATCCTCTGCAGTAATGAGCAAGTCTTACATTTACAATTGTGTATTAAATGTGAAAGATGCTGACATTGACGGTGATGACATGCTAGGTCAATTGGTGCCAAACCAAAGCAATCAATAGTGTTAACAAAACATGATGGGCTGGTCATAAGGTGGAAAATCTCGAGCTTTTATGGATGCATAATCAGATACAGTAAGGCCAAATGCCTCTGAATCAAGCAGCCATTACTGCACAGTCATGTTCTCTCTTTAAAATGGTTAAGAACAAACGTGATACTATTTGACAAATGTTATACAAGTTCTGTCATAATTGCTATAAAAGCACAGAGATAAATACATTCTGTAGGCATTGAACAGAGAAGAATTTCAGAAAGTAAATTGTGACAGAATTTGAAATTCTCAATATTTATCAAATCCACCAAGACTCAGGAGGAATTTTCAGTAGCAAAAACATGTTATGGACTGAGATGAAACAGCCAGATAGTGAGACTGAAGAAGTTATTGCACTAACCCCAACTAAATTCTGCTGTGTGAAAAGCCCAGATACTTCACACTGAAGGTTCTTCTAACTCTATAGCAAGCACAGTATCTATGTAGCTCCATTCGGAAGTAATTACTAGCTTTTCTTCTACATTCTTTTGGATACACTTTCCAATAGAGTAACATCACCAAAGGCAGAAATTAGCAACTGATGGTGCATTATAACCCAAGCTGTGAGCTTCACATTAGGAAGGATGGAAATACTAGAAGCCACGGGAGCAATAGCAGTTACAGGTGTCCATACCCTGTTTGTTGTTTCATGCACTTCAAACCAGTCCAAATCACCTAAGGGTAGCTTTCTGTCATGCTTCTAGTCTCTGAGAGCAAAAGTTTTCTTCTTTGCCCTACAAAAAAAATTTGATAAACAACATAGGCATGAAAAAATTTACTTACAGTCTGTGCACATCAACAATCTCTCCTCTAAAAATCTAATTGGATTTCAATAATATCCACAATCTCTGGGGGTGGGGGGTAAGGTGGTCAATGAGAATTTATTGATCCTGTTTATTGGCTACCAACAGATCAAGGTAAATATGTCTTGTGTCAGGAAGAATAAAGGACAACAATAGAAAATAACAAAAATATAAGGAAAAGAAAAGAACTTAGATCTTGTGAATAGATCTTGCCCTCAAAGTATTTTCAAATTTAACAAAATATAGTCAGAGCAAAATATCCCTGATGTGATCTCTTAATAGACAAATGAAGGAGATGGAAACTGAGAGATGAGGAAGGGAGTTTACACTTAGATTGAAAGCAGGTACAGAAGGGTTGGCTTTAGGGAATACAGTGGGTCTTTGTCACTGCTAGTGCTCCTGAGTTAATAGTGTTTCAAAATTCTGTGGGCAGTGTCTGGTGTGGGTGGGTCGTGTCTGAGACTCTACACCAGAGCATGAGGCAAAAATGCAAAGAGATATCACTTCTGGTGGTGTTGACGGGAGAGGCCCGACCACCACTTTGTATCTTTCACATCATGGTTCAGAAGATGTTCTTGATGATGACTAAAAGCAGACAGAACATCTTTTGTCAATAAACTTGGATTCAGAGCTTAGGCTTTTATGCTTGAGGCCATTTCAGGGAAAGAGAGAGGAAAAGCCTGCATTTCTTTAAAAATGTTATGTCTTTTTCCAGAAATGTCATCAAGCTTTCACAGGACACTATATATATTTTTTTAAAAATGTACGCCTTCAACAATGTGGTGATAATATCTAGTTGTTCTGTAAAGGAAGACTAGAGAAATTTTAGAAAGTCATAGGTCAAGTGGGCATGGCTAATACGGTTTAAATCAGAAGGTTATGAAAAGTTTTGGGACACTGGGTTATAAGGCTTCAATTTTAACACCAACCTCTGGCTTCTTTACTTGCCAACTGTGTGATTTCTACTTGCCTTCCCATATGTATTGAAATATCTTTTGGTAGAAATGTTAAAAAAGAAAGGTCTAAGAACTTTAATTAAATATTGTGAAATGCACAGTCAACACCTTTGTATACAACATAAGAAAAAATTAATGAGATTAGATGTTTAGTACTCCAGGGAACCAAAAGCATGTACTCAAGCTCATACCATTAAATGTAGTCACCTCATCTCTCCTGGATTCACCAAAGCATAGAGGAAATGTGCTGAATGCCGTTAATAATACCTGGTATCTGAATGTGTGAAAAAAGTGATTGCCACAATATTGACTTGAACAAAGTGAAAGAACTACTGAAAACCAAGAAGAAATTGGCTAACCTGATTAGTCATATCCTTCAGATGAGTGGTGATACATACAGAGAAAGAAATTTGAAAATACCCTGTAATACGTCAGAGATTTGATTCACAATGAAAGGGTTTTCAAAAAAAGAAAAAAAAAAGCATTAAAGCATCTTGTACGTCATGGGTCCACTTTTAAATTTTGTGTAAATAAGCATGCTTTGTACAAAATTAGGCATAGACTGATCTGGATAGAGACATTTCTTCATAAATCACCTTAAGAAATATATTTAAAGAATCTTAAAGTCTACATGGAGAGAAAGAGAGGAATTATCACTGAGAAAATTAAAATAGAAGAAGCTTGCCAGGTTTCCAGGGTTTCCAAAAGAGTAATATGAACATCCGGCTTGCAAGACTATAGATGAAGAATTTGCAGCTATTTCTTCAAAAACAGAACAGGTAATGGCAAAGCAACTGGAGTGAGTCCTTTTATCCAGTGATTGAAATAAGTGGCTGTCAGCAGGACTTTGCATGCAAAACTCAGAAAAGCTCAGATCTAGTGATCTGAAATCTAATTATTCTGATTCTTAAGGAAAGACCTGGAACATTTAAATTCCTAATTAAAAAATTTAGCAATAGTGGGCTGCTGTGGAAAATAGTCCAAAAATAAGAAAACATCGCTCATCAGAGAACCCTGGAATTAAAAAAAAATACTTTCACTGAATTTTTAACTGAGAAAGAAAGTCATAAAAATGAAGCCTTAGGTTTCAGGAAAACATTATTCAAGATAGCATTGATCTTCTAGAAAGTGGTATCAGATCTAAAGATAATGTTTCAAACTACAAATAAAATTTCATAATAGATATTGTTTTCTTCAGTTCAAACAAATTTTGTAGCCAAATATGAATAGGTGAAGTTCATAAATTCAGATGAGAAGGTTTAAAATTTATGTAAATTTATTAAACATTAATTCTTAATTGTTTAAAAAAGTGTAATATAGTTGTGTTACTTTTAAAATCTAGAGAATTAGTTATATTTAGTTGAGAATATGTACAATATATTTTATTTTATATAAAATTTTACTATTTTCAATGCATCTAGCATAAATATGATCATAGGAAAGGCTTTTGAATTAGTTGTCAGAAATTGTGCAATGACTTAAAAAAGTAGAAATGAGTTCCTAATTTAACAAAAGAAGGGTGTATGAATATGACATTCAATAAAGTTGAACTTTTTAAACAACAGACATATAGGAAGTCTCTTTCAGATGTAAAATGTTTATTTGCTTATTTCTCAAGTATTTAAGGAAGGCAAATAAGTAAAACAATAATGTGAAATTACATTTTACTTGATTGATTCCAAATGTATTATATTATAGCTTACTAAGATAAATATGCTTGACACATACCTATACACATAGTGAAAATAAAGGAAGAAAGAGGAAAGAAGGAAGGAAGGAAGGAAACGTTATTCGGACATAAACACTAAAGAGGACTAATACATAAAATCCTGTTACAAATACTAACATTTCAGAATACTTCAAATAGATTATGACACACCAAGTTAATCATAAATATGATAAATATGATTATGAGGCCTGTACTGGAACAACTATTGTTTGTATCTCAAAATCTTCCACATATCAAGTTAGTAAAATAGAGACTCAATGGATTATTGGAGAATGCTCTGCTACACAAACTATTCTATGACTGTCTTAATTCATGCATATTTTCTAAACATTTATTTACTTGAATCCTGGACACGTTATTTGTTGTGCAGTTTTATTTCTGCTTACCTTTCAGTTTAATGAGTGCTATTCTCTTCTAAAATTTATGTTAACCTGAAGGTATTTCTATTTTCAATTTCCACAATTAAATTAAGGTAGATGTGTGCATATATGCATGGAAACCATGACTAAATATTAATAAGATATATTTGTCCATTTGCTCACAAATTACACTTTCATCTTGGAATCAAGATGGTGAAAATCACCAAATATGGCTCTTCTAAAACATATAGATAGATAGATGATAGATAGGTAGGTAGATAGATAGATAGATAGATAGATAGATAGATAGATAGATAGATAGATGTGACATACATACATATATATTTATATGAATAAAGAAGACAGTGAACTATGCACCTGATCGTTTTACATACTTGCCACATTCATGTAGATCTGGTATGTTCCAGAAAAACATGTTGACTTGGAATATGCATTTCTGTTTGTTGGTTTATTTGTTTTAGTTTAGCTTTGTAAAAGAGCTGTTTGTATTAAATAATAATCTATAGGAAACATGTTTTCAGTCGAATGCTTTACAAAATACACACATTATTTTTGTTTTTGATAAACCTTTATAACAGAGACAACAATAAATATTACCCTTTAAATATTTTATGGACTATCTTGTAATACTTTGTTAATTACATGTGTTATGAACTTGGGAATTTTGAAGTTAGTAGTTAACTTTGTCATACATATAAGATTTAAAAAAATATTTTCCAATTTCTATTAAAAATAAAATATACTTTTACAGATAAAAAGTATAAATTTTAGAACACATGTGATTGTGATCTCAATAGACTTTAAAAACACCTAAAAATATAAGAAATTGGTATATGGAAGCTGACATGAGAAGGCAATAAACTAAGATAAAAAGGCATTCCTAAAATAGAGATTTTTTAAAAAGCTACACGTAATAAGAAAAGAAATGAGTAAATGCAAAATTTGCAAAATAAACATGTAATGCAAGCAGGAAATATAATAATACTCTAGGAAATGTAATCAGTAACATGCAGAAAAAAAATACAGATAATTTCCTAAAGCACATAAAGAAAAAAGGCATTAAAGTAAGGACAGCAAATGCTAGTTGAACTAAAGATAATTGGTGTTTTTAATGATCAAAACCAGTAATTAAACCTATGGTAGAGAAATACTTCCCTGAGCTTACATGACCGAAGATTTCAGATCAATATTATAGGTCTTACTGAGTGTGAGTATTCAGCCATATTTGTAAAGCATACACACACACACACACACACACACACACACACACACACACTCTCAAACAGAAATATTTTAGTTTGCTTATACCTTAATATATTGCTCAGGTGTAAAATTGACCATGAGTTTTCTACTCTATGCTGTTTTCATTCAGTTTTTCATCAGATAAATGTGAGCATTATAAAATAAAAGTATGTAACTTCCCATAATTTTCCATGTTTCATAAATACTTTCTCTAAAATTGAAATTATCCTTCACTTGAAATTTTATTTAAAAGTTTCTGTAACATGCCCTGGAGCTTTTGACTTTGCTAAGGGTAAATCTTTATCAACTGTTTTCATTTTTTTCTAATGTTATTGTTTTAGTAAGATTTCCTGCTTTTTTGAAGGAAAATGGAGAATGCTCTGCTACACGAACTATTCTATGACTGTCTTAATTCATGCATATTTTCTATTTTTATTTTATTCTATTTATATTTTTGCTAGGGTAAATTTTGACAATTTATAGTTTTCTTCAAAAATGTTTAGGTTTACATTTTTTTTGGTATGAAGCTGCGTATAGTGTTCTCTGAAATGTTAGTTTAAGCTCCTGTAGACCTGAACTCATAACATTTTTCATTCTGAATGTGTTTTTTTCTCTGTGTCTTCTCTATTTAGTTAGCTCTTAACTATATTTGCCAAAGGCTTGTCTTTTGAAAGACAATTGATATTTTCAAAGAACTTTGCTTTTCTTTTTATTGGTCAATTCTGCTGCTTTAACTTATTAATTTCCTATTTCAGTAATTTCTGGTTTAAAATATATTCTTTCCTTCCTTCTGTTGTTTAGAGGTTTATTTCACTGTTTTTTTTTTAAACTATGTTATTGAATTGCGGGCTTAGTTCCTGTATTTCTCCAGTTCTTGTTTTCTAATAATTATATATAAAGCTATGTTTTCACCTGTCACTTCGATCATATGTCAATTTAGTTTTGTATGTAGTAGTTACCTTGGAGTTTGAAGGAAGTGAAGCATCATGGTTTAAACCTTGGACTTTGGAACTAGACTATTTGAATTCAAATCCTATCTTGGTCACATATTAGCTAGATGAAATATAGCACATTATTTAAGCTCCTTGTGTCTTTAAATGGGATTAATGACAGTGCTGACCACATAAGGTTTTTATGAGGATTAAATATGTGAGCATAAGTGGAATATTTAGAACAGTAACTACACATTGTAAATGCAGAATAAATAGTAGGTATTTTTAATGTTAATATTGACATGTAGGTCTAGTTAGTTATCTCCATTAATATGGTTTGGCTGTGTCCCCAACCAAATCTCACCTTAAATTCCCACATGTTGTGGAAGGGACCTGGTAGGAGGTAATCGAATCATGGGGGCACATCTTTCCCATGCTGTTCTTATGATAGTGAATAAGTCTCACCGGATCTGATGATTTTGAATAATGGGAGTCTCCCTGCACAAGCTCACTTTTTGCCTGCTTCCATTCATTTAAGACATGATTTGCTGCTCCTTGCCTTCCACCATGATTGTGAGGCTTCCCCACCCACGTGGAACTGTAAGTCCAATTAAACCTCGTTTGATTGTAAATAGCCCAGGTTTGGGTATGTCTTTATCAGCAGTGTGAACAGTCTAATAAAGCAAATTGGTCCCAGGAGTGGGGTGCTGCTGAAAAAATACCCAAACATGTGGAAGCAACTTTGGAACTGGGTAACAGGCAGAGGTTGGAGCAGATTGGAGGCCTCAGAAGAAGACAGGAAAATGAGAAAAAGTTTGGAACTTCCTAGAGACTTGATGAATGGCTTTGACCAAAAGCCTGATAGCGATATGGACAATAAAGTCAGGCTGAGATGGTCTCAGATGGAGATGAGGTACTTGTTGGGAACTGGAGCAAAGGTGACTCTTTTTATGTTTTACCAAAGAGAATGGCAGCATTTTGCCCTTGAGCTAGAGACTGTGGAACTTTGAACTTGAGAGAGATGATTTAGGGCATCTGGGGAAAGAAACTTCTAAGCAGCTAAGCATTCAAAAGGTGACTTGGGAGTTATTAAAGGCATTCAGTTTTAGAAGGGAGCCAGAGCATAAAAGTTCAAAACATTTGCAGCCTGATGGTGCAACAGAAAAGAACAACCCATTTTCCTAAGAGAAATTCAAGCCTGTGGCAGAAATTGGCCTAAGTAACAGGGAACCAAATGTTAATTCCCAACACTATGGGCAAAATGTCTCCAGGGCATGTCAGAATTCTACATGGTGGCTCCTCCCATCACAGGCCTGGAAGCCTAAGGAAAAATGGTTTTGTGGGCTTGGCCCAGGGTCCCTGTGCTGTGTGCAATCTAGGGTCTTGGTGCCCTGCAACCCAACTACTCCAGCCATGACTAAAAGGGACCAAGGTACAGCTCAACCTGTTGCTTCAGATGGTGGAAACCCCAAGCCTTGACAGCTTCCACGTGGTGTTGAGCCCACAGGTGCACAGAAGTCAAGAATTGAGGTTTGAGAACCTCTGCCTAGATTTCAGAAGATGTATGGAAAAGCCTGGATGCCAAGGCAAAAGTTTGCTGCAGGGGCAAAGCACTCATCTAGAAACTCTGCCAGTGCAGTGCAGAAGGGAAATAAGGGGTCAGAGCTCCCACACAGAGTCCCTACCAGGGCACGACTTAGCAGGGCTGTGAGAAGAGGTTCATTGTCTTCCAGATCCCAGAATGGTAGATCCATGACAGCTTGCACCATGCACCTGGAAAAGCAACAGCCACTCAATGCCAGCCCATGAAAGCAGCCGGTGGAGGAGAGGGGGTTACACCCTGCAAAGCCACAGGGGAGGTGCTGCCCAAGACTGGGAACACACCTTTTGCATCAGTATGACCTGGATGTGAGACATGGAGTCAAAGGAGATCATTTTGGAGCTTTAAGATATGACAGCCCCACTGGATTTCGGACTTGCATGGGGCCTACAGCCCCTTTGTATTGGCCGATGTCTCCTATTTGAAATGGCCATATTTATCCAATGTCTGTACCTCCATTGTATCTAGGAAGTAACTAACTTTTGATTTTACAGGCTCATAGGCAGAAGGAACTTGCTTTGTCTCGGATGAGACTTTGTACTGTGAACTTTTGAGTTAATGCTGAAATACGTTAAGATTTTGAGGGAATGTTGGGAAGGCATGATTGGTTTTGAAATGTAAGGACATGAGATGTGGGAGGGGCTAGAATGGAATTATATGGATTGGCTGAGTCCCCACCAAAATCTCATCTTGAATTCCCACGTGTTATGGAAGGGATCTGGTGGAAGGTAATTGAATCATGGGGGCACGTCTTTCCCATGCTGTTCTCATGATAGTGAATAAGTCTCACCAGAGCTCATGGTTTTGAAAGATGGGAGTTTCCCTGCATAAGCTCTCTTTTTGCCTGCTGCCATTCATGTAAGACATGACTTGCTGCTCCTTGCCTTCCGCCATGATTGTGAGGCTTCCCCAGCCAAGTGGAACTGTAAGTCCAATTAAACCTCTTTCATTTGTAAATTGCCCAGTCTCAGGTATGTTTTTATCAACAGCATGAAAACGAACTACTACATCCATTTTATCTATAAATGCAAGACTTATTTAGAAGCATTAATTTTTCTTAAATTTTATGATTGAGAGATATTTTGTTAATTCTTTTGTCAAGTTTTACAGCTACTGCTTCATGATAATTGAATTTCACTCTCACATTATCAACATTTTGAGCATGTTTCTAAGACTCCTTTTAAAACCATTTTTATGAATATATTACACATATTTAAAAAGAATATGCAACTTTCTTTTTTTTGCCAGGGAGTTTTGCTGAGGAAAACACTCCATTGCTTAATATCTAGTAAGCCTAATGAACACAGAATGTAGGAGGTTTTGGAAAACACGTGGCCCGATCACTCAAAAGTCTCCCTTTTTGTTTGGCTTCAATTAGCTTTCAGCACCATTCACAGTTGTAATTTTCTATGTGTGTCCTTGGCTGAGGCTTACCTTGTAAATTTTATCTGTTTTCTAACTTTTGGGACCTTGTCACAACATCTGGTCCTGGGAAAGAGCCTATTTGTTTTTTGTTTTCCTGTTGTTTAAATATTATATTGTTTCTAGATATTTGTTACAGGAAGGTAAGAGTGAAGCATGTGCTCAGCTCACTATCTTGAAACAGAAATTACAATATGTTATTACTTAAACTTAAATCAACACACTCAAATCAAAATTAAATAGGCAAAAAAGCCAAACATTTGTTAGGTATGCTATACAAGAAAAAGAAAGAAAGGTAACTAATATTAATCTCAAAAAATTGAATTTAAAATAGTAAGCAAAATATTGGGGGTAAATTTTTACTCCAATAAAGTTATACATATTTAACTTTACATGTCCCAAAACTATATCATCCAAATTAAAAATCACCAAAATACAAAGATAAAAATGTAAGAAATATGAGAAACATATGACAGAAATGTTTATATTGATAAATTTCTCAGAGTCTGAGAGATCCAAGTTGGTTAAAAATAAAATGTATTCAAATGATGACAAATAACTTTCATACTAAACTTTAATTTTTATAAAATTGATTATATGTCTTTTTAAGCATCTATTAATAAAAGATCACATGTATTCCCACAAATTCTTAATGGATTTGAGACAGCAGAACTTACTTAGCCAACAATATTGGACCAGATTGAAAAATACTACTATATTAAAATTATATAGTTTTCATATGATTTATTACATAATGGCCTGCATGGGATTTTTTAAAGTCAATATGGCAAGGCTTTTTTTTTTTTAGTTTCTATTATTTATTTGATTGTTTATAATTAGTTTCTTCCAAATTGTGACCAGTGATCATTTTATGTGTTACCTGAGGAACTCAGTATGGAAGCCTGAATTAATACAAGATTTTATACTTAGTCTGTAACATGTTTGTATGCTGTATTTCAGCACCTCAGACAGCCTCCTTCACTCTTTGTCCTGTTCTGCATAGTTCCAAAATCATAATCATTGGTGGTTTTTAATGTCCTTTATTAGATTCTCTTTGGAACATGCTTGACTTCATCACTTTTGATTGTCATCAGTTTCATATGCTATTCTGGAGAATTCCCTTACATATTCATTTGCAGACATTTTGAAAGAAAATTGTGAAGTCTCTAATATTTTCTCTTACTCTGTCATAATTCCGAGTGACAAGACTCTTATCTGGCCAGTAAAGGGGAAGAACAGCATGCATAGCTGTTATATAGACTTGGGAGTCAAGACAACTGAATGTGAATGCTGGTTCCCTAAATTACAGACAGTGAGTATTTGGGAAAGTTACCTAAACTTATGAAGATCCAGATTTAAAATATAATTTGCACAGAAAGCCAGTGTTTTCTTAGTAATATTAGTGTGTAGATTATACAAGTTAATACACACAAAATTCCTTATGCAGCAACTAGCATCTAATAAAATACAATAAAGAATAACTAAAATCACTGTAAGTTACATTCAGCTTTCAGAAGTCATGTCAGATTCAAATATATTCTAAGTAGTAATATACACATAGACCCTTTTATATTCCACACAGATATATAATCTATGGAATGTATGAATCAATTTATCTTTTAGTGCACAGTAAAAAGTAAAACACAGAATTGTGTTTTTCAAAACAGAAGTTGCTTCTGGTAAGTGGATTTTCGTACTCAGAGTATATCTTCCCATTTACACTTCTTTCTTTTTCTGGTGTTTTTAATCAGAATATTTCCTATCTCATCTTGTGAGATCAGTCTCTATTTCTGAAAAGAAAGGAACAGCAAATACTGTGTATATCATAAACTTCTGTGAGTATGGAGGGTGGGAATTAGTATTTGCGTATGTAAAAATATTGCATTAGACTTCTAGGTTATTTAGGTTTGTGTAGTTCTCACAGGATTAAAATACTTGAAAATGTTACTAGGATATCTCCACACTAACCTAATTTTTAAAATGGAACTATCAGGTTATTTTAATTACCAAATTATTCAGTTCACAAAAATAACTGCTTGTTTTATAAAAATAATCTATTTTATAAATAATTGACTGATTTTGTGAGTCTTTTGGTATCGCATAGAATTATTCTTTGTGTAAAAGCTTGATGCTGGATACAAATAGCTAATGTTTTAAATTAAAGTAAGCATTTTCTCTATTTTCAGCAGTAGAGTAAGTTCTGATTCATACAATTACTAACATTGTAATTGTCACACTGGTAGATTTTTACCCATTTATTTTTTACAGGTGCAAGCATTGTTGGTTTCTTCAGGCATATAAGACATTGAGGTAAAAGTACCAGTGATATTTTAGTCAGTATTTAATAAATATTTTAAAAGCTAAGATTAAAAGATAGTAATGTAGAAGAAAAAAACAAAACTATTGGGAGGTAACATAGCATGATTTTTACACATTTAAACAAAATAAGTTTATAGAAACATATATATATATATATATATATATATATATGTATTTAACCAAGTGTGTTAGTCAGGGTTCAATTAGAGAAGTGGTGGCTATTGTTCCTGGGTCCTATGTGGAAACCTGAAGTTTGCAAGATATTCAGTTAGGAAAAGAAAACTGATATGAAGAGGGGAAAGAAAGAATAATCTGAAACCTGTGAGGCTGAGCTGGAACACAACTGGAAACAGTTTGTCTTCCATACAGAAAGTCATACAGAAAACTGCATTTGTCCCTGACCATTTCCAAGCATCCAGCTTTGAGGACTTTAATTAAGAGGATGTCCTGCAGAAGAAGCTAGCACCTTTTTGTCTCAGATAAACACATCCCCTGACTGGGAATTGGAGAAACTGAAAGATAAAATCTGGCAGAAATAGCATACCCCGTGTATTCATTTTATAGGGCTGCCATGACAAAGTGCCACAAACTAAGTGACTAAAAGCAACAGAAATTTATTATTGCACATTTCTAGACCTAGTGGTCCAAAACTAACTTGTCAGCAATGGGCAGGAGCTCTGTGAAGGTTTTAGGATAGAAATATTTTTTGCTTCTTTTAATTTCCCTGCTATTCCTTACCTTATAGCTACATCATTCTATTCTCTGCCTCAGTCTTCACATGGCCTTCTCCACTGTGTGCCTGTCACCTCTTTTCTTAACAAAGACAAGGCTGAGTGCAGTGGTTCATGCCTGTAATCTTAGCACTTTGGGAGGCTGAGGAGGGTGGATCACTTGAGCTCAGGAGTTCGAGCAGCCTGGGCAACATGGAGAAACCCAGTCTCTACAAAAAGTACAAAATTAACCAGGCTTGGTGGCATGCACCTGTGTTCACTGCTACTTGTGGGACTGAGGCAGAGGATGGCTTGAGCCTTTGAGATGGAGGTTGCAATGAGTGGAGATCACACCACTACATTCCAGACTGGGGGGACAAAATGAGACCCTGTCTCAAAAATTAAAAAAAAAAAAAAAAAGACACCAGTTATATAGAATTAAAACCTACTCTATCCAGTATGACCTCATCTTAATTTTTGTATTTTAATTTTTGTTGGTACATAGTAAGTATATATATTTATGAGGTCTATGAGATGTTGTGATACAGGCATACAATAGGTAAAAATTAAATCAGGATAAATGGAGTATCCATCACCTCAAGAATTCATCCTTTGTCTTACAAATAATCCAATTATACTCTTTCCATTATTTGAAAATGTACAATAAATTATTGTTGACTGTAGTCCTCCCATTGTGCTCTCAAATACTCGATTTTATTCATGCTATCTAACTAGTTTTTTGTATCCAGTAACTATCCTCACTTTCCCCTTCTCCCTTACTATTCTTCTCAGCCTCTGGTAACTAAACATTATTCTACACGCTATCTTCATGAGTTCAGTCGTTTTAATTTTTCAGCTCCCACAAATGATTGGCAGCATGTGATATTTGTCTTTCTGTGCCTGCCTTATTTCACTAAACATAATGACCTACAGCTCCATCTATGTTGTTGCAAATCACAAGATGTTATTCTTTTTGGTGACTGAATAGTACTACATTGTGTATACATCTGACACTTTATCCATTCATCTGTTGATGACACTTAGGTTGCTTAAAATCTGGCTATTGTGAATAGTCCTGAAATAAATAAGGGAATGCAGATATCTGTTTGATATATTGATTACTTTTCTTTGGGGCATATACTTAACAGTGGGATTGCTAAATCATATGGTAGTTCTATTTTTAGTTTTTTGAGGACCTTCCAAACTGTTCTCTATAGTGGATGCACTAATTAACATTCCTATCAACAGAGCCTGTCTTTTGGATAAAAACTATTTTAAGTGGGGTAATTTGGTATTTTATTGCCTTATTGATTTGCATTTCCCTGTGGTGCAGTGATGTTAAACACCTTTCCATATATCTGTTTGCCATTTTATGTCTTCTTTTGGGAAACATCTATTCAGACCCTTTGTCCATTTTTTAATTGGATTATTAGATTTCTTTCTGTTGAGCTGTTTGAGTTTATAATATGTTCCGGTTATAAATCCCTTGTCGAGTTGGTAGTTTGCAAATATTTTCTGTCATGTTGTGAGTTGTCATTTCACTTTGTTGATTATTACCTTTGCTGTGAAGAAGCAGTTGAACTTGAGATAATCACATCTGTTCTTTTTTGCTTTGGTTGCCTGTGCTTGTGGGCTAAGAGGCAAGAAATATTTGCCCAGTTCAATGTCCTGGAGAGGTTCCCAGTTTTTTTTTTTTTTTAGTAGTTCCATAGTTTTAGGTCTTGGATTTAAGTCTTTAATCCATTTTGATTTGATTTGATTTTTGCATATGGTGGAAGATAGAGGTCTAGCTTTATTCTTAGGCATATGAATATACAGTTTTCCCAGCACCATCTATTGAAGAGATTGTCCTCTGCCCAGTGTACAGTCTTGACACTTTTGTTAAAAATGAGTTCACTGTAGATGTATAAATTTGGGATATTTGTGAAATTTGTCTTTCTGCGCCTACCTTATTTCACTAAGATCATATAATCTGCAAACAAAGATAATTTGACTTCGTTCTTTCCAATTTGCATGCCCTTTCTTTTTTTTTTCTCTGATTGCTCTAGCTAGGACTTCCAGTACTATGTTGAATAACAATAGTGAAAGTTGGAATCCTTGTCTTGTTTTAGATCTTAGAGAAAAGGCTTTCAGTTTTTCCTATTCAGTAAAATACAAGATATGGGTCTGTCATATATGGCTTTTATTGCTTTGAGGTATATTCCTTCTATATCCAGTTTTTTGAAAATTTTTATCATGAAGGGGTACTGAACTTTATCAGATTTTTTTCAGCATCAATTAAAATGCTAATATGGTTTTACTCCTTCATCCTGTTGATATGATGTATCACATTGATTGATTCAAATATGTTGAACCATCCTTGCATCCCTAGGGTAAATCTTACTTGGTTGTGATGAACTGTATTTTTAATGTGTTGTTGACTTCAGTTTGTTGGGTTTATTTTTTAAGGATTTTTGCATCAATATTCATCAGGGATATTGGCCTGTAGTTTTCCTTTTTGACGTATGTTTAGTTTTAGTATCAAAGTAATATTGGCCTCATTGAATGAGTTTGAAAGTATTCCTTCCTCTATTTTTCAGAATAGTTTGAGTAGGATTAGTGATATAATTTGGAAGTCTGTCTCCTCCAAATCTCATGTTAAACTGTAATCCACAATGCTGAAGGTGTTTGCATCATGGGGGCTAATCCCTCATGAATGGTTTAGCATCAACCTCTTGGTGATTAGTGAATTCTCACTCTGTTAGTTCACACAAGATCTGATTGTATAAAAGATTGTTGCCCTTCTTTCCCCTTTCTTGATCTGTCTCTCGCCATGTGACATGCCTGCTCCAACTTTGCCTTCTACCATGATTATAAGCTTCCTGAGGTCTCATCAGAAGCTGAGCAGATGCTGGCACCATGCTTCCTCTACAGCCTACTGAACTGTAAGCCAATTAAACCACTTTTCTTTTAAGTTATCCAGTTTCAGATATTTATTTATGGCAATGCAAGAAGAGACTAACAGATAATTGATCCCAGGGAGTGAGGTCTTTCCATTAAGAAATCTAAAAATGTGGAAGCAGCTTTGAAACTGTAACAGGCAGAGGTTGGGAGAGTTTGGAGGGCTTCTAAGCCCAACAGGAGATAAGGGAAGCACAGAAAGATGAGGGAAAGTCTGGATCCCCTTAGAGACTGGTTGTTCCACCTCTGTCATCTGACAATGGTTAGAATATGTCTCCTTGGAATTACAAGTGCACAGGACAGCTTTTTTTTTCCCCACTGCTTAAGAGTTTTTTTTTTTTTTTCCCTTATTCCTCCAAGTTCTGAGCAACTTTTTAGAAAAATACTTTCTGGTGGTAGTTATGTCTCCTTCCCTCTGAAGGTATGTTTTCTGGGAATCCAAAATTCATGTGTTATGGGTTCTATTGAAGTTTCCACTCTAGGAAACCAAAGACTTCAACTTCTGCTCCCCTTGCCATCAAAAGTCATCAAAACAGAAGTTTTTACCTATTCACAGATTGGCAAATGCCTTTAGGGCAAATGTCTTAATGGTTCCACTTAACCTCCCTGGATTTCTAATTCTCTTAAATGCATTTACTGTCTTGTTGGATGTCTTATTAATTAAAATTATTTTAAAATGAGTTACATCAAACTATTTTCATATTTACATTAATATGATTACTCTGAACAATCTAACCCACCATTTTTCTAGAAACGAAAGTCCCAATCTTTTTTCTTAGTACTACACAGAATATCTACTATTTACATGAATATATAAACATGAAATAATTGCTAATGATGTTTTAATAAAGAAAAGAATAAGACCAGCACCCCATTAAAATGAGTAAATTGTTTGAGTGGCAAATTCACAGTGAAAAAATTACAAAGGGCTAATAAACATACAAAAGGAAGATCATAGACAGTTAAATAGTCTACAATGAGTTCTGTGAGGGAGCCTCACCTGGAGGCTCATAGGAGAAACACATACAAGACATAAAAGACAAACATAATGCAGCATCCCTGCTCAATAATGTCTTATTGAGATGTTGTTTAAGCTGCTTTTTTGCATCTTTATCCTAAGAACACCAAACTCAACTAATAAATTAATTATTTAAGGCTACATATTGAAAACTTTACATTTCTTATTTTTCTGTTCTTCCATGTCTCTTTGACTCCAAGAATTTTGCTTACATAATAGATAAAAATTTTTCCTTTAGGCCATTTTATAAAAACCTTATTTTGTATCTACATTTTCAGAAGTAAGATATTAAAGCACAATCCATATACGCTAGTGATGTTTAAGTAATAATCAATAATTTGTTTCTAGAAAAATAATCTATTTGACCTAATAGCTCTTTTATCTAGTAATGGAAAAATTAGAAAATGGCCAAAGGAAGGTCTTAATTGATTTTCCTGAAAAAGTTTGTGGAGATATATAATTCACATAGCACAAAATTGAAGCAATAACCTTACCAAATGTGTTTATCTGGCGTTACCACATTTTAGAGTTTACCATTAGTCTCATTATTTATGTATTATAGCAATATTGTTTCAAAAGCGATTTAGAAAAATTCCAATAAAAAATTGGTAACTTTTTTTAGTTTAAATTACTTTTCTTCATTAAAAAAACTTTATTATATACTGTTTTTTCATTAGCACATTTGCAAATAAAAGAAAATCAAAATTACTTTTTATCCCCCATTACTTAAATAAAGAAAATATTTTTCTTTCTGGGCCTTCCTTTCTTTTCCCATTTGTGAAACAGAGAGGTCTGGGTAGATCTTTAAAATTTTTAGTTATAAAATTTGAAGCACCTAAGATTTAATGATTTTAAAGAAGAAAATTAATATTCAATTGTTTACCATTTCCATACCATATATGCCTAACAGCTATTAATAAGTAACACATTTAAAGTGTTACTTATTAACACCTTACTTTGCAAGCCACCAATTAGTTCCACTTTCCTTAGCATTCAGATACACTAGCTAAATTCCTTGGGTAACAAAAACACCAGCACGAGTCAGTGTACAGACAAGTAAGATGTTCAATTAAACCACTCAGAATTGTAGAATAGTGATGTATCAAAAAGTTTGATTTGGCAAACCAGATATTTGTAATGTCTAATTTGTTAAAATGTCTCAGACAACAACAAAACACATTGTAGGATTATCTTTTTTGTTCTTGTGTCTAAAATTTCTCCTGATGGTAGGTTAAATTTTCATCAAATTTAAGAAAAACTAAAGTCCATGATAAATGCAAAAGTACACATAAAAATTTTCATATGTTTGGAGACAGAGCAACATGACCAAATAGAAGCCTCTACCAACCATCCTTCCTGCAGGATCACCAAATTTAACAATTATCTACACAAAAAAAGCACCTTTATAAGAACCAAAAATCAGGTGAGTGATCACAACGCCGATTTTAACTCCATATAACTGAAAAAGACACTGATGAGGGGTAGGAAAGACAGTCTTGAATTGCAGATGCCACTCCTTCCCCATTCCTGGGCAGTTGCCATGTGGTACAAAGAGTGAACCTGTGAGCTAAGAGAAGGCAGAGCACAATGAATACGGGACTTTAAATTGGAACCCAGTGTTTCCCTGTCACAGTGGAAAACAGCACCTGGCAGAGCTGCGAGCATTTAGACTAGCACTAGCCAGAGGGGAATTGCCCATCATGGTGGTCGCAACTTGACTTCTAGCAAGTAATGCCACCGTGGGTTAAAGAGTTCTGGCATTCTAAATAAAGTTGAAAGGCAGTCTAGGCCACAAGGACTGTAATTCCTGGACAAGTCTTGATCATGTGTTGGGATGCATAGTACCAGCTGGGGTGGCCAAGGGAGTGCTTGTGTCACCCATTCCCAAATCCCAGCAATTTCAGCTTACAGCTCTGGGAGAGAATCTGCCCTTCCATTTGAGGAGAATAGAGGAAAAAAATGAGGACTTTGTCTTGCAACTTGGATATCATCTCAGCAATAATAGGATAGGGCAATAGGCAGGGTCCTGAGGTCCCCATTTCAGGCCCTAGCTCCAGGCATCTGTAGATATACCTTCAGCCAGAGTGAACCTGGTGCCGCCAAGGGAATGACCCGTCCCTGGCAGGATTCATTACTAGATGATTAAAGAGCCCTTAGGTCAAGAATAATAAGCAGTGGTGGCCAGATATTACATGCCATGAACTTTGGTTAAGACTCTGAGATGGGCTGACTTCAGGTGTGACCAAGCACATTCCCAGCTGTGGTGGTTATGGGGAGGGACTCCATCTTCTTGAAAAAAGAGAGACTACAGGAAACTTTGTCCTGCAGCTTAGGTACCAGCTGGGCCACAGTGGGGTAGAACACCAACTGAGCTCCTGGGGCTCCTGAATGAAGGACATGGGTCTTACACAGCATCACTGGACCTGCTCTGGACCACAGGGGAGCACACTGTCCTAAAGGGAGAGTGCCAGGCCTGATGAACTTTCACCACAATTTGACTAAAGAGCTCACGGGCCTTGAGTGAACATGAGCAATAGCCAGGCAGTACTCACTGAGGGCCTGGGGTGGTGGTGGTCATGAGGAAGAGACTCCTCTGCTTGAGCAAAGGGGAAAGAATGGAAAGACATTTTTCTTGTGGCTTGGGTGTTGTCTCAGTTGCAGTAGAATATAGCACCAATTAGATGCCTAAGGTTCTGGAGTCCAGGCCTTGCCTCCCAGATGACACATCTGAACCTGCCTGGGGCTGAGAAAACTTGCCACCATGAAAGGCAGGACAGAAGCCTAGCTGGGTTCATTCTCTGCTAATGATAGATGCATGGGGCCTTGAGGAAACATAGGCAGTGGCCAGGCAGTGGGTACAATAAGCCTTGATCAGGTCCCAGTTCTGTGCTGGCTTAAGGTCTGAACCAGCACAGTCCAGCAGTGGTGACCACAGGGGTGCTTGTGTCACCCCTTCCCCAGCTCCAGGCAGTTTAGCACAGAGAGAGAGAGAGAGAGAAAGACTCCATTTGTTTGGCAGAAAGTAAGGGAACACAACGAGCTTCTTTGCCGGGTAATGCAGAGAAACTTTCAAGATTTTACCCAAAACCACCAAGGCCATACCTATATGAGTCAGTAAAACCCACAGTGTTACTGGGCTTGGGATGCCCCCAATAGGGTTTGGCTGTGTCCCCACCCAAATCTCATCTTGAATTGTAGCTCCCATAATTCCCACATGTCATGGGAGGGACCTGGAGTGAGGTAATTGAGTAATGAGGGAGGATCTTTCCCATGCAGTTCTCATGATAGTGAGTTTCATGAGATCCGATGGTTTTACAAGGGGTAGTTCCCTTATGCAAGCTATCTTGCTTGCTGCCAGGTAAGACATGACTTTGCTCTTTACTCGCCTTTAGCCATGATTGTAGGCCTCCCCAGCCACATGGCACGGTAAGTCCATTAAACCTCTTTCCTTTATAAATTACTCAGTCTCAATATTGTCTTTATTAACAGTGTAAGAACAGATTAATACAGTAAATTGGTACTGGTAGAGCAAGGTGCTGCTGTAAAGATACCCAAAAATGTGGAAGCAACTTTGGAACTGGGTAACAGGCAGAGGTTAGAACAGTTTAGAGAGCTCAGAAGAAGACAGGAAGATGTGAAAAAGTTTGGAACTTCCTAGAGACTTGTTGAATGGCTTTGACCAAAATGCTGATAGTGATATGGACAATAAAGTCCAGGCTGAGGTGGTCTCAGATGGAGATGAGGAACTTGTTGGGTACTGGAGCAAAGGTGATTCTTGCTATGCTTTAGCAAAGAGACTGGAAGCATTTTGCCCATGACCTGGAGATTTGTGGAGCTTTGAACTTGAGAGAGGTGATTTCAGGCATCTGGCAGAAGAAATTTCTAAGCAGCAAAGCATTCAGGATGTGACTTGGGTGCTCTTAAAAGCATTCAGGTTTATTCATTCACAAAGATATGGTTTGGAATTAGAAATTATGTTTAAAAGGGAAGCAGAGCATAGAAGTTCAAAAAATTTGCAGCCTGATGATGCAATAGAAAAGAAAAACCCATTTTCTGAGGAGAAATTCAAGCCAGCTACAGAAACGTGCAAAAGTAAAAAGGAGCCAAATGTTAATCACCAAGACAATGGGGAAAATGTCTCCCAAGGCATGTCAGAGGGCTTCATGGCAGCCCCTCCCATCACAAGCCAGGATGCCTAGGAGGAAAAATGGTTTAAAGGCCTGGGCCCAGGGCCTTTCCGCTTTGTGCAGTCTCGAGACTTGGTTCCCTGCATCCCAGCCATGTCTAGAAGGGGCCAACATACAGCTCAGGCTGTTAGGTCAGAGGGTGCAAGCCACAAGCCTTGGTGTCTTACACGTGGTGTTGGGCCTGCAGGTGCACACAAGTCAAGAATTGAGGTTTGGGAACCTCCACTTAAATTTCAGATGATGTATGGAAATGCCTGGATGTCCAGGCAGAGGTGTGCTGCAGGGGCAGAGTCCTCATGAAGAGCCTCTACCAGGGCAGTGCAGAAGGGAAATGTGGGGTGTAAGCTCCCAAACAGAGTCCCCACTGGGGCACTGCTTAGTGGAGCTGTAAAAACAAAGTCACTGTCCTCCAGAACCCAGAATAGTAGATCCCCTGACAGCTTGCACCACGCACCTGGAAATGCCCCAGACACTCAATGCCAGCCCATGAAAGCAGCCAGGAAGGGGCTGTACCCAGAAAAGCCAAAGGGGCAGAGCTGTCTAAGACCATGGGAACCCAACTCTTGCATTAGCGTGACCTGGATTTGAGATATGGAGTCAATGACTGCCCTGCTGGATTTCAGACATGCATGGGTCCTGTAGCCCTTTTGTTTTGGCCAATTTTTCTCATTTGGAAAGGGTGTATTTAACCAATGCCTGTATCCTCAATGTATCTAGGAAGTAACTAACTTGCTTTTGATTTTATAGGCTCATAGGTGAAAGGGACTTGCCTTGTCTCAGATGAGACTTTGGAGTGTGAACTTTTGAGTTAACCTGAAGTGAGTTAAGACTTTGGGGAAGTCATTGGAAGGGCATAATTATGTTTTGAAACGTGAGAACATGAGATTTGCGAGGGGCCAGGGGTGGAATGATATAATTTGGCTGTGTCCCCACCCAAATCTCATCTTGAATTATAGCTCCCAGGTGGGAGGTAGTTGAATCATGGGGTCTAGTCTTTTTCATGCTGTTCTCAGCATCGTGAGTAAATCTCACAAGATCTGATGGTTTTATAAAGGGAATTTCCCCTACACAAGTTCTCTTGCTTGCCTCCATGTAAGGGGTGACTTTGCTCCTCTTTTGATTTACCTGCAGCCATGATTGTGAAGCCTCCCCAGCCATGGAACTGAAATTCAATTAAACTTTTTTTTTGTTGCTGTTATAAATTACCCAGTCTTTGGTATGTCTTTATTAGCAGCATAAAAACAGATTAATTCACTCCCTAGTGGAGACATGGCTGCAGTAACCTACAACTTAGATCACAACACTCAAGTCCCTTTGAATACCTGGAAAGTCATCACAAAAAAGGACAGCTACAAATAAGCCCTAATGGTGAAGACTACAATAAATACCTAATTCTTTAATGCCCAGATACTGAAAAACATCAGCAGACTTCAAGGTCATCCAGGAAAACATGACCTCACAAAACAAATTAAATAAGAATCCAGTGACCAATCCTGGAGACACAGAGATATGTGACCTGTCCACAGAGAATTCAAAATAACTGTTTTGAGAATATTCAATGAAATTTAAGATAACACAGAGAAGGAATTCAGAATCCTATTAGATAAATTTTAAAGGAGATTGAAATAATTGAAAAGGGTCAAATAGAAATTCCGAACTTGAAAAGTGCAACTGACATACTGAACAATGCATCAAAATCTCTTAACAGCAGAATTAATCAAGCAGAAGGAAGAATTAGTGAGCTTGAAGACAGGCTATTTGAAAATATATAATAAGAATAAAATGATATGGTTTGACTCTGTGTCCTCACCCAAATGTCACCTTGAATCATAATCCCCACCTGTCAAGAGTGGGACAAGATGGAGGTAATTGAATCATAGGGGTGATTTCCCCCATGCTCTTCTTGTGATGATGAGTGAGTCTCACAAGATCTGATGGTTTTATAAACATCTGGCATTTCTCCTGCTTGCACTCACTCTGTCCTACCACCCTGTGAAGAAGGTGCCTGCTTTTCCTTTGCCTTCCACCATAATTGTAGGTTTCCTGAGGCCTCCCCAGCAACGCAAAGCTGTGAGTCAATTAAAATTATTTCCTTTATAAATTACCCAGTCTCGGGTATTTCTTCATAGCAGTGTGAGAATGGACTAATACATAGACAAAGGAAAAAAGACTAAAAAACATGAAGTATACCTACACAATACAGAAAGCAGCCTCAAAAGAGAAAATCAGAGAATTATTGGCCTAAAGAAGAGAGAGAGAGATGTGGGGAGAAAGTTTATTTGAAGGAATAATGACAAAGAACTTCCTAAACCTAGAGAAAGATGTCAATATATAAGTTACAAGAATGTTATATAACACCAAGCTGACTTAACCCAAATAAGACTACCTGAAAGCACTTAATAATCAAACTCCCAAAGATCAAGGGTGAAGACAGGATCCTAAATTCAGTAAGAGAAAATAAACAAATAACATACAAAGGAGCTCCAGTACATCTGGCAGCAGACCTTTAGTGGAAATCTTACAGGCCAGAAGAGAGTGGCCTGACATTTTCAAAGTGCTGCAGGAAAAAACTTTTATCCCAGAATAGTATATCCAATGAAAAATATCCTTCAAATATGAAGGAGAAGTAATATTTTTTTTCAAACAACCAAATGCTGAGGGATTTCATCAACTCCAGACTTTTCCTACATGATATGCGAGCAGGAGTTCTTCAACCTGAGGGAAAGGATGCTAATGAGCAATAAGAAATTATCTGAAGGTACAAAACTCACTGGTAATAGTAAGTACATAGAAAACCACAAAGTGTTACAAAAGTCTAATTGTGGTGTGTAACCTACTCATATCTTGACTAGAAAGACTAAAAGACAAACCAAACAAAAATAATAAAACCAACAACATTCAAGATATAGAGAGTACAATAAGATATAAATAGAAATGACTAAAAGTTAAAAAGTGAGGGATTAAGTTAAAGTGTGGAGTTTTTGTTAATTATCTATTTGCTTGTTTTTGTTTGTTTATACTATCAGTGTAAAATTATCATCAGTTTAAAATAATGGATTATAAGATATTATTTTCAAGCCTCATGATAACCTCAAATAAAAAAAAAATACAAGATATACCCAAAAATTAAAAGCAGGAAATTAAATCATACAAGCACAGAAAATTACCTTCCCTAAAAGGAAGACAGTATGGAAGGAAAGGTGAAAGAGAAGACCACAAAACAACCAGAAAACTAACAAAATGGCAAGAGTAAGTCCTTATTTACCAATAATAGCATTGAATGTAAACTGATTAAACTCTCCAACCAAAAGACATAGAGTGGCTGAATGATCAAAAACTAACAAACACAAAATCCCTCAAGACCCAGCTACCTGTTGCCTATAAGAAACACACTTTGTCTGTAAAGACACAGATAGATGGAAAATGAAGAGATGCAAAATGATAATGCATGCAAATGGAAACCAAGAAAGAGTTGGAGGAGATATACTGATATTAGACAAAATAGATTTCAAGACCAAAAGTATAAAAAGAGAGAAGAAAGGTCATTATATAATAATAAAGGGGTCAACTCAGGAAGAGGATATATAAATTGAAAATATATATGCACCCAACACTGGAACACACATATAGAGAGAAATTATTAGAGATAAAGAGAGACACAGATTCAAACATAATAATATCTGGATTCCTTAACACCTAACTTTCAGCATTGGACAATTAATCTAGAAAAAATTAATGAAGAAACATCAAACTTAATCAGTATTACAGACCAAATGGACCTGATAGACATTTATAGAATACTTCCTCCAAAGGCTGCAGAATACAAATTTCTCCTCAGAACACAGATTATTCTCAAGTAGAGACCATATGTTAGGCCACTAAACAACCCTTAAAAAATTCAGTAAATTGAAATTTTATCTCATATCTTCTCTAACCCCAATAAAATAAAAGTAAAATTCAAGAAGAGAAATTTTTGGAAACTATACAAACACATGGAAATTAAACAATAAGCTCCTGAATGGCCAGTCAGACCAGGAAGAAATTAAGATAAAATTTTAAAAATTCACCAACAAAATGAAAACAGAAACACGATATAGCAAAACCTACGGGATAAAACGAAAGCAGTACCTAGAGGAAAGTTTACAGTAATAAGCACTTACATCACAAAGAGGAAAAACTTTAAATGAAGAACCTAATGATACAAAAGAGCTAGAAAAGCAAGAGAAAACACAACCCAAAATCAGTAGAGGAGAAGAAATTAAAGAGCAGAGCAGAAAGAAATATAATTGAAACAAAACAACAATACAAAAGATTTACAAAACTAAAAGTTTGTTTTCTGAATAAACCCACAATCTTTTAGCCACACTAAGAAAAAGAGAGAGAAGACCAAATAAATCAAGTGAGTGATAAAAAAGAGACTTTATAACCAATACTGCAGAAATTGAAAAGATAATTGGAAATTACCATGAGCAACTATATGCCAATAAATTGGATAATCCAGAAGAAATTGATACATTTCTAGATGCATACAACCCACCTAGATTAGACTATGAAGAAATACAAAACATGAGCAGATCAATAACAAATAACAAGATTGAAATTATAATAAAAAGTGTCCCAACAAAAATAAGCCAAGATCTGATGGTGTCACTGCTGAATTTTACTAAACATTTAAAGAAAATCTGTCAATCCTACTCAAACTATTCTGAAAAGTGGAAGAGGAGGAATTACTCCAAACTCATTCTGTTATGCCACTGTTACCCTGAAACCAAAACTAAACAAAGACACACACGTACACAAACTATAGCTCAATATCCATGATGAACATTGATGCAGAAGTCCTAAACAAAATACTACCAAACTGAATTCAATAATACATTAAAAGGATCACTTATCATGACCAAGTGGGATTTATCCCAGGGGTGCAAGAATGATTCAACATATGTAAATCAAGTAATGTGAACATTATATCAACAGAATGAAGGAGAAAAGCCATATGATCATTTCAATTGATGCTGAACAAGCATTTGATAAAATTCAACATCCCTTTATGACAAAAGCTCTCAAAAACTCGGTATAGAAGAAACATACATTAATACAATGAAATCCATGTTCAACAGATTCATGTAGAGTATCTTACTGAATGGAGAAAAACAGAATGCTGTTGCTCTAAGATCTGGAATGTGACATAAATGCCAACTGCCAACTTTCAACACTGTTGTTACTCAACATAGTCCTGGAAGTCCTAGCTAAGGCAATCAGACAAGAGAAAAAAGGAAAGGGCATCCAAATTGGAAAGGAAGATGTCAAATAATCCTTGTTTGCAGATAATACAATGTTACGTTTGAAAAAAATGTAAAGACTCCATCAAAAATATATTGGAACTGATAAACAAATTCAAGTTTACAGCATAAAAAAACATACAAAAAATCCTTAGCATTTCTATATGCCCAAAGTGAACAATCTGATATAAATGAAGAAAGTAATCCCATTTACAATAACTAAAAATCAAATAAAATACCTAGGAATTAACAAAATAAATGGAAGATCTCTACAATGAATACTATAAAACATTGATGCAAGAAATTAGAGAACACAAAAAATGGAAAGATATTCCATGTTCATGGATTGGAAGAATCTGCGTTGTTAAAATGTTCATACTTCCCAAAGCAATCTACAGATTCAATGCAATTCCTATCAAAATACTAATGACATTCTTCACAGAAACAGGAAAGAAAATCCCAAAATTTATATAGAACTACAAAAGATCCAGAATAGCCAAAGCTATCATAAGCAAACAGAACAAAACTGGTGGAATTATATTATCCGACTTCATATTATACAACAGTGTTATAGTAACCAAAACAGCATGGCAGTGGCATAAAAACAGACACATAGACCAGTGAAACAGAATGGAGTGAAACAGAATGGAGAACCCAGAAACAAATTCATACATCTACAGTGAACTCATTTCTAACAAGGGCACCAAGAATGCACGTTGGGGAATGGACAATCTCTTCAATAGATGATGGTGGGAAAACTGGATATTCACATGCAGAAAAAAAAAACTAAAGACCTATCTCCTACCATATACAAAAATCAAATCAAAAATGGATTGAAGACTTAAATCTAAGACCTCAAACTATGGAACTACTAAGAAAAAAAATTGGGGAACCTCTCCAAGACATTGAAGTGGGCAAAGGTTTCTTGACATATGCTCCACAAGCATGGGCAACCAGAGCCAATATGGACACATAGGATTACATCAAGTTTAAAAGCGTTTGAACAGTAAATAATCAACAAAGTGAAATTACAACCCTCACTATAGAAGAAAATATTTGCAAAGTATCCATTTGACAAGGGATTAATAACCAAAATATCTAAGGAGCTCAGATAATTCTATAGGAAAAAAAATCTAATAATCTGATTTAAAAATAGGCAAAAATCTGAATAGACATTTCTCAAAAGAAGACATACAAACAGCAAACAGATATATCAAAAGGTGCTCAAAATTATTGCTCATCAGAGAAATGTAAGTCAAAACTACAATGAGATATCAACTCACCCCAGGTAAAATGGTTTATATCCAAAAGACAGTCAAAAACAAATGCTGGCAAGGATGTGAAGGAAAGGCAATCTTTGTACACTGTTGGTGGGAATGTAAATTAGTACAACCACTATGGAGAACAGTTTGGAGTTAAGAAGTAAAAATAAAGCTACCATATGAGCCAGTAATCCCACTTTTGGCTATATACCCAAAAGAGGAAATCAGTATATCAAGGAGATATCAGCACACTCATGTTTATTGCAGCACTATTCACAATAGCCAAGATTTGGATGCAAGATAAGCATCACTTAACAGGTGAATGGATAAAGAAAATGCAGTACATATACACAATAAAATACAATGCAGCCATAAAAAAGAATTGTTGCGGGAAGTCAGGGACCCCGAACGGAAGGACCGGCTGGAGCTGAGGCAGAAGAACATAAATTGTGAAGATTTCATGGACATTTATCATTTCTCCAATCAATACTCTTATAATTTCTTATGCCTGTCTTTACTTTAATCTCTCAATCCTGTTATATTCGTAAGCTGAGAATATATGTCACCTCTGGACCACTATTGTACAAATTGATTGTAAAATATGTGTATTTGGACAATATAAAATCAATGCACACTGATAAAGAACAGAATAACAGAAATTTTCAGAGAACAAGGGAAGATAACCATAAGGTCTGACTGCCTGCAGGGTCAGGCAGAATAGAGCCATATTTTTCTTGTTGCAGAGAGCCTATAGATGGACGTGTGAGTAGGAGAAATATCGCTGAATTATTTTCCCAGCAAGGAATATTAATAATTGATAACCCTGGGGAAGGAATGCATTCCTGGGGGTAGATCTATAGAAGGCCGCTCTGGGAGTGTCTGTCTTATGCGGTTGAGATAAGGACTGAAATATGCCCTGGTCTCCTGCAGTACCCTCAGGCTTGCTAGGACTGGGAAATTCCAGCCTGGTAAATTCTAGTCAGACCAGTTGTCTGCTCTCAAAACCTGTTTCCTGTTAAGATGTTTATCAAGACAATGCATACACAGTGGGGCATAGACCCTCATCAGTAATTCTTGTGACCTACTCTGTTTGTACACCCCCTCCCCTTTTAAAATCCCTAATAAAAACTTGCTGGTTTTTCGGCTCGGGGTCATCATCATCGTCCCACCAATATGCGATGGCATCCCCGGAAGCCCAGCTGTAAAATTTCTCTCTTTGTACTCTTTCTCTTTATTTCTCAGACCGGCCGACACTTAGGGAAAATAGAAAAGAACCTACATTGAAATTTTGGGGGCTGGTTCCCCCGATAAAGAATGAGACCCTGTCATTTGCAACAAAATGGATGGAACTGGAAGTCACTAGCTTAAGTGAAATTAGCCACACAGAGAAAGACAAACTTCACACATTCTCACTTATTTGTGGGGGCAAAATATTGAAATAATTCAACTAATGATGACAGAGTAGAATGATGGTTACCAGAGGCTGGGAAGAGTAGTGGGGGTAAGAAGTAGAGATGGTTGCTGGATATAAAAAATAGATATAATGAATAAAATCTAGAATTTGATAGTGCAGCAGGGAGGCTATAGTTAATAATATTTAGTATATATTTTTAAATAACTAAGAATATTATTAAGAATATTATTGGATTGTTCATAACACAAAGAATAAATGCTTGAAGTAATGGGTATCACATTTACCCTGATGTGATTGTTACTCACTGTATGCCCATATCAAAATACACCATGTACTCCAGAAATATATATATACCTAGCATATAACCTCATAAATAAAAATTTAGAAATTTAAAAACTGAAAATAATAATTTAAAAAGTGGTAAGTGGATTGTAGCTACCAAAGTCTTCTGTTTCATGAAATAAAGGCACCTCTCAGGCCACTCTGGCTAACAGGTATCCCTCATTTCAACAGCTGCATTAATTAAGATTAATTAACATTTTTCCACATCTAAATTAGATACAATAAAATTGTACTATACAAAGGAGAAAGCTTCTATTTTGCTTTAGCAATGGTTTGCAGGCACAGTTTAAGAATAATGAAACATTTTTTATCTGTGTTTAAAAAAACTGTCATATAGTCAAAAAATTATTTCTTCCAAAGAAAAGTAATAGATTGACATGATTATCAGTGTATCTTTTAAATATAAAAATATGAAAATGCGATATAATATGAATTTTAATAATTAGTATTCTTTCTATACCTCTATAGCCATGCAAGATAGAAATATAACCCTACAGGAGGGGGCACACAAGAAGGAAGACATCTAATCTCCTGGTAAGCATTAACACTAGAAAAAAGTCTAACAAAAGTTACAATAAAGGTAGTATTAGAATATATTTGTGGCCAGGCAATTAATGATAGTGGGGTTGTAAAACAATACAGACTCCCACTCAGCAACAAGCACAAGGAGAGCCCAAATCTTGGGATATGGATACAGGGCAAGAGCACAGGAAAGGAAGGACTCTAAATTGTGTACCTCAGCTTGATGCCACTCTCCACCATAAGTCCCAGTTTCTTAGTGAACTTAATTTTACTATAGAACTACTTTAGGTCTACTTCATTTCCAGAGCTTATACACAGGAGAGTAAAGGGATGTGACTTCAGAAGTGTGATGCCCAATACCACCTTGCTATGCATACCTAAGAAGCAACTCCAAAGTTGTTATCAAATAATTTCAAGAAATGTTATAAAGATATGTTTGTTTTGTGCCAAGAAGAGTGGGAGTTTTGAAGCCATTGGCCGATGTTTCTCACCTTTCAGGCTTCAAATTTAAGTTGAAAATATTCTAATTAGTATTATAATGCATTTAGCTCAGTAAAACCAGAAAACTTCAATTTAAAGTAATTTAACTTACAAAAATGCATTGCTGAACTTAAAATTCAGCCCAAGACTTTGGCAGGCTTCAGGCCACATGTATCAGGGCTCTGGCCCGCTATTGTGCCTTTCACAGTATTCATTGTTCTGCTCTGTCACATATTGACTTATCCTCATTCTGACAGCAAACACCTGCAAGACTTTAAAAGTTTCATTCAGACTCCTAAGCAAAAAAAATCCTTCTGGTTTTAGAACTTCTTGAGAGTTAGGCATTTGAGTCCACTCCAAAAATCAATTTCTAGCAACAAACGTGGATTATATTAGTTATTTCCAATAGAGTAGTTGTTGATGACTTCTACCATACATACAATAATTTGGCCTTAATTCTAAAAGAAAATTTACGTTTTGAAAATATATCAACATTATAAGATATATAATGTAATTGGTTGACTTGAATTTGGTTAATCAAAAGATTAAACTCTATATGGCAGATTTGTTGGTTGGTAAGCAAAAGGCATTGCATGACCCTTTTCTGAAACAACTTTTATCTATGAGCATGCTGTTCCACCAGCTTAGAATACTCTTCCACTCATTTTTATGATGCTCAATTGTTATACTCTGGGTGTAGGCTGAAATTATATCCTCCTCAGAGAACACTGACATTTATAGGTTTCCCACTTACCTCAATATTCTACCAAAGAATTTTTTAATTGTATTCCTAGCACTTACCATACTTTTAAATAATATATTTATTTGATGATTTTTTAGGTATTTATGTTTACAGCTAGGCTGAGGTTTTCAATGGAGCAGGAACTATGCCTATTTTTTAACCACTATGTAATAGCGAATGCCACAGTGTGTAGCACATAGCAGGTGCTAACTAAACATGTGTTGAAAAAAAGGATTAAATATATTCATGTATCAATTAAAAATTATATACATGAATAAGAATAATCTAACACAAATCTCTACATTAGGGATTTAATATATTATGAGAAAGACATTTCAGATAATCAGATAAGGATCAATTTTAGTGGTTTTGAGATAAAGTAGCTATAATTTAGGAAAAAATTCATATAAAAATAACATTTTATGTGAATTCAAAATTAACTTTACCTTTAAAAATTAACTATAAGAGATAATAATAGAATAAAGTCCAGTCTTATTCATCTATAAGAAGATTTTAAGAAATCCTTCTAAGCAAGCCATAAAATCCACAATTGCTAAAAGACTAGATTGATACATTTGATTATATAAAACCTACATATAATAAAACCTATAAAAATTTGTATTAATTTTATGTAAAATAATAAGATAAAAATGCATAGTATCCATTATCCTAGATTATCTAAGATCTTATTATTGAGAACGGTGAAGGATCTGAGATCTTACCCTACTACCAAGCAACAAGTTCCCCCACAGGATTCATAAATAGTGGGTAAAATACAGGAATAGACATTTTGCAAGAGAAGAAATACAAATGGCCGACAAGCATATGAAAAAATGCTCAACATCAATAATCATCAGAGAAATGAAAATTAAAACCACAATGAGATATCTTACACCAGTCAGAATGGGTTTTAAAAAGTTAAAAAATAACAGATGTTGGTAAGCATGTGGAGAAAAGGTTAATACTTGTGCATTGTTGGTGAGAATGTAAATTAGTACAACTTCTACGAAAAACAGTATGGAGAGTTCTCAAAAAACTAAAAACAGAACTACCATTCTATCCCTCAATACCACTACTGGGTATCTAACTCAAAGAAAAAGAAATCAGTATATAAAAAGATACTGGCATTCATATGATCATTGCAAGCCTATGCATTCACAATAGCAAGGATATGGAATCAACTTAAGCACCCATCAGTGAAAGCCTAGATAAAGAAAATGTAGTATGTATACACAATGGGATACTATCCAACTATACAAAATAATAAAATCATGTCTTTTACAGCAACATGGATGGAACTGGAGGCCATTATCTTAAATGAAACAACCCAGAAACAGAAAATCAAACACATGTTCTCACTTATAAGTGGCAGCTAAATAATGTGTATACATGGACATAGAATATGGAATGATAGGCTTTGGAGATTCGGAGGAGTAGGGAGTGAATGATGGGAAATTACTTCATGTACATTGTTTGGGCAATGGAGGCACTAAAGGCCAGAATTCACCACTATGCACTATACTCATGTAACAAAATTTCACTTGTACCCCTTAAATTTATCCACAAAAAAACATTAGTGGACAGTGGTAGAAGACACATAATTCCTGGATCAGAAATGTAAAGCAGTTTATTACCCACAGCAACAACAATAGTCAGAGTATTTTTTTTACTCCGGTTATCCAAGTCCCAATTCTTACAGGCAATATGAAAGGGGCATATGACAACTGACCATGTAGTGGGTTACATTACAGGAGGACACATCTAAGCTTAGGGATCTCTAATTTCTTATAAAGGGCAGTAAATATACCTGCCATTTGCTTCAGAGGAAGATGATATCTCTGTCTTCCAGGGATGTAAGCCAACCTGTCCTTTGCTACAAAGAAACTCTCTCTCTCTTCAATGCCTGCTGATTATATAAACATTCTATAAACATGCTCCAGAATACAAGGCCATTAGTGCTTCATTCACAAAACATGCAGAAATGCAAAATACGCTTGGAGAGTGGTATCTTGATTTTTATCTATTCTAAACCATTCCCTCCCTTAAACAGAGGTTGAATCCCTTCTCAGTTACTCCAGGACATTTTTCCTCTCTCTTACATCAATAATTTTTCACTATCAACTGAATCCCTTGGGTACATAATTACATTGTTTAATTCTCATTCCAGCTTTCATCCCATTTCTCTGCAAAACTTTGCAGCAAAAAGCTTTTTGCATCTTTGCCGTCTCCCACTCTTTCTTCCTTTGTTCTTACATACATTCCAACCAGTATTTTGCTCACAGAATTCCACTGAAACTATCTTTCTAAAGATCATCAGTGGCTTAGGATGACCATATAATTTATCATTTGAACTATGATACTTAAGAATGAAAAGTGGCATTATTATTAATTAAAACAAGGCAACAAACTGAAAGTGTCAAAGGTGCACTAGGATGGATGCTATCCCTACCAAAATTCTACATGTGGTCAAATCCAATAGTCAATTCAATGTTTTACTTTACTTGGCAAATTAACAGTATAGACATGCATTGATTAGCAACAGGAATACACTCTAAGAAGCACATCATTAGGCAATCTCATTGTGCACATATCATAGAGTGCACTTACACAAACCTGGATAGTAGAGCCTACTATATACCTGGGATATATGATATTCTTATAGCTCTGTGGCTATAAACCTGTACAGCATGTTACTGTACTGAATTCTGTAAGCAACTGTAACACAATGACTATTTGCATGGCTAAGGATATCTAAATCTAAAAAAGCGCAAAAATGCAGTATAAAATATTTAAAAAGATACACCTATGTAGAGCACTTACCATGAATGTAGCTTGCAGAAATAGAAGTTGCTCTGGATGAATCAGTGAGGGAGTGGTGTGAGTGTGAAGGCCTAGGACATTACTGTATACTACTGTAGGCTTTATAAACACTGCACTGTTAGTCTACATAAATTTATTAAAATATTTTATTTTTAAATAATAAATGAACCTTAGTTTACTGTAACTTTTTACTTTATATGTTTTTACTTTTTAAGTTTTTGTAGAAATACTTAATTTAAAACACATTGTACAGCTGTGCAAAACTATTTTTTCTTCACATCCTTATTCTATAAACTTTCTTTCCATTTTTAAAGATTTTTTTAATTTTTATATTTTGTTAAAATCTAAGATACAATCACACATATTAGCCTAGGTTTCCAAAGGATTAAGATATTACTGCCTTCTACCTCCACATCTTGTCCCATTGGAAAGTATTAAGGGTGAAAAACATGCATGGAGCTATCTTCTCCTATGAAAACAATGTCTTATTCTGAAACACCTCCTGATAGACCTGCCAGAAGTTTTTTTACAGTTAAGTTTATTGTTTTAAAAAAGTGGAGGGAGTACACTCTAGCCATAAAAAGTACAGTATGGTAAATGCATAAACCAGTAACATAGTCATTTCTTATTATATCAAGTATTATGTATTGTACAAAATTATATGTGCTATATTTTTATATGACTGGCAGCACACTAGGTTTATTTATGCCAGCACATTACACCACAAGCATGTGAGCAATGTGTTGTGCTATGACATTCTGACAGCTATGATGTAACTAGGTGATAGGAATTTTTCAGCTCCATTATAATCTATGGAACCATGATCGTATAGCAGTCTGTTGTTGACGCAAATGTCCTTATGTGGCATATGACTGTATTTGAAACCACAGATTACATAGTTCCATCACTTGTTTTTTTTTTTCTGGATATTACAGTCATTGATTGTTCCTTCTCTTAACATTAGTCTTCTCAACAATATTATTATGAAAGCCCAGGCTTCAATCTCTAATTCTATTCCATTTACTATCTACACTTTCTTTCGTCCTTTGCAATCTCATCAAGTCACATGGCATAAAATACTATCTATATGCCATTGATAAATAAGTTTATACCAGATCTCCCTTCTGAATTCCATACTACTGTATCCAACTACCTTCTCAATATCACCACTTGGATTCTAATAAAGTTATCAAACTATGAATTATTTTAATATAATTCAACAAATGTTGAAAATCTTGACACAGGAAATCAAATATGTCAAGACAGTTGCAGTCTCAGATTATAGTATATTAGCTATCATTCAGGCTTTGGGAAACAGCACATCTGATATCTAACTCTTTGATCTCTTTATTTAAATCACTAACAGAAATATTAGGCCATATAAGACCATTAACAAGTGAATCAATATAAAATGGGAATTAAAATTGCAAGGAGAGCTTTAAATTCTACCTCCTTTTCCTACTCCCTAGCTGTGGGATATTACCACATAGCTCAGAGTTCTTACGTTGTGTGGTAAGTAATGATTACACTGGGAGTAGCAGAAAGCTTGACCAAAAATGACTTATATAAATAGGATTACATTTTTCATTTAATAAAAATGCTGGAGGTAGAGAGCTCAGGGCCGCTTGAAATACCCCAAAACACCATCCAAAATTTAAGTTTAGAGTATCTTTCTACTCTGACCTCCTTATTATGTGGTCTAGTCAAAGATGGCTGCTCCTTCTCCTTATCACTATCATACATTGTCCCAGTTGGGAAGAAGGGATAAGAAAACAATTAAGGACAAAAGACAAAACCTTACCTTCACAGGGGTCTGCCTTTTTTATTTCTGAAGACAAATTTCTGAAAGGAAGCCTTCTCTCAGGGACTTACATCTCCATGTTATTAGCCAGAACTGTGTCATATTAACATAACAAGATGCAACAGAGCCTGGAATTTTAGCTAGGAACAGTGAAACCTTGAACAAAACCAGAAACATTTTAGTAACAAATAAGATAAATTGGTTAGTCAAATAACATGCATACCAAAAAAATTAATTGAGATAATGTAAGCAAAAGCACCTACCAAAGTACTTGACAATAGGGGCCTCAGCATATACAGGTCTTGCTGAGCAACATTGTTGAATACAATTTGAATCTGTCCAATACTACCCTTAGCCAATCATAATTTTACTATTTTATTAACAAGGATATCATAGGAGATTTGGGTCCAAAGCTTTGCTCAGACATAGGATTTTGAGAGGAAATTCTAGGTGGCAAGAATTGCCTGACACAAGAGATAGAGGATAGTAATGAGTATATTAAGATGAATGATGATGCATTAACCTAGAGCAAAGGGAGGCTCCAAAAGGTACCAATCATTTACACAATCCAAGGTGTGACAGTAAATGAGCCAAGAATTTTAGTCCATTCTTGTGTTTCTTAAATTTGTGCTCTCTCTATATGCTTCTGTTTTCCATGTGCTCACTAGGAGGCTGGGGAGGTCTAACCAAATTTAGTAAGACCCATTAAGTATCCTAAGCCCCTTGCAGTTCAACAATGTTAAAAAATGCAAGATATTTTTAATGTGGAAAGCATTCTTTCTTCCACTCTCCACTGAGAGTTTGACAAAGTTTTCCTCAGTTTAAACTTGTAGTTTTTGTGTTTGTTATCTTTTTCAGCACAGTTTGGCCAATCACAAAGTCTCCTACTCCCTGCACAAAATTATACAACCATGGCAACTACCCTTTGAAAAAGAAATATTGCCATAGGGGGAGGCAGCCAACTCACTCAGGCTCAACTAGTCCAGAAGTGCTAAGCAGCTGCAAAGAACATCGAAGGGGAGATGGCTGGGGCTTAGGGCATTTTGAGAAATTAATTTGAGAGACTTTGACTTTCTTCATGAACCCCTCTAGTTGAATAGCACTTTTCATCCTATGGAGCTCCTGCCTGTGGAATTCACTATGGCAGGGGGTCAGCATATCCAATATATGACTGAATTTCAAAAGAAGCTGACTATATGCTAAGAACAAAAAATAGCACTGCTACCTATTTGTCAGGATAAGAGAAATGCATCATGGGCTATGGGATTAAAACATACTCAGCAGGTACCAAGATAAGTTTTCTTTTCTTCTCAATCTAAGGTGTCTTACAGTGGAAACACTGCTAAAATTTCCTCCTGAAATACTAGGTTTGGATTATTTTAATATGTGGATGTTGAGTATAATACATCACTATTTGTTCACTCAAATAGAAAAAATTCAAGCCAAAATAATTGTTATTTTTCATTTCTTATGGAATTTCTGTCAAATATTTTTTAAATGAAAGTTTAATGTATAGGCCTTAGTTTCTTTCTTTGTACTCTTTTTTACTATAAGTGAAACTCATCTTGTTAATTATAACACCTAAGAAACATTATTAGTGTTACTCATTTTATGTAAGACTTGACCTTAGAAATTGTGCAAAATAATTGTAAGAGTAATTACAGTTTTAAAAAATAATATGTTGAGATCTCTTATAAAGCAAAGGTTTACTCCCTAATTTATATTTTTGTTGTTATATTCATACTTTCACATGTGTTTGTGTATATATATATCTGTACAAACATGTTTGTATAGTTGTGCTTATTTTATACATTTATATTTTAATATATGAATACATAATGCTCATTTATATAAATTAGTTTATATATGTATGCCATAAAAAGTTTAAATATATACTTATTAAAAAGGAACTATAATACAACTTTGTGAAACTGTTAATTAAATGGGCTTTTGATTTGTTTTAGAATTTTTCATTTCTTTATTTCTCTAAATTAGTTTTGGAAGACATTGACAAAATTTTTTGAAAATTAGCTCATATTACAGATTTATTACTAAAATATTTAAACATGTCTGGGATATATATATATATATCCAAATATATTCTACCTTCTTTGTTCATATAACTATATCCATGTACTACGGAGTGATAATCATGATCCAGAGACCTTATAAGAACATCCAGAATAATCACAAATGTAGGCATACTTATGCTTATTTTTAATGTCTAATGGAATGATTGATTTTTAAATAACTATTTTGTTCCAGACAATAAGTCATTTTATATACACTGAAAATTTATTATTAATATTTTAATTTGATGTAATTCTCACAATGCTCTTTCTCATAGAACTCCATTCATTCTAAAGATAAGAAAACCAACATTTGAAAAAAAATTGGCCTGCCAAAATCAAGCTCTAAAAAGTGGAAGCAATACTAATATTGAGTTTTATGATGTCAGGTTTCATTTTTTAAGGTTAAACTATATTAGCATTGCTCAGAAGTATTATACAATCAACACTGTATTTATAAAAATAGAATATTAGATCATCTTTATGATAAATAGATGAATACAGAGATAACAAACACTATCATCAAAAGGTTTCCTCTTAATTTGATTACTTCTGAAAAGAAATATTTAAGAAATATATCAAAGTCAAGTGTGTCAACAGTAGTAAGGGATGTGTAAAAGAGGTCAAATAATATCTTGAAACATTAATCTGTTTTTCTTTTTCACACTTTATACTACCTGCTAATTTGTTTTTCCAAAAGTTAGAGTCATCCACACTTCCTTGACATAAATTGAGATTATTATAGTATAGTTACAAAGAAGAATGAAAAGTCAATGCTTATTTGTTGACCCCCAAATTTGGATTGTCAAGCCCTTAACAGAAACAATGGCTTTGAAAGCTAAGGTTTTATTTTATAATATTATGTTTCAGATGTGCAAAGGGTATACAGAATAATAAAGAATTTGTATTCATCATTCAGATTAATATACTAAATGCTTATAAATATAATTGTTGTATCCTTTGTATTTCCAACCAATCACATTCTCTTTTTTCTCTACCATCTTGAGTTTAGTCACTAATAATTTCTATGCATTTTTGAGTAGTAATATACTCACATGGTTTACAATTAAACATATAAATAATATATAAAGTTTACTCCTACTCCTGCCTTCATTTACCATGTCTCTCCTATTTGCTCCCTCCCTCCCTTGGATGATTAATTTTCAGTTTTTTATGTGATTATCAGAATTTCATATATCACATTTTTAATACATTTTTTACATATGCATGTCTACCTAAACAAAATATAGTACCTTTCTGCTTATTTTTTAACATTTTATATTCTTCTACAATTTGCTTTATACATTATAGATTATAGTTGTAAATTTTATTTATACTTGTATTATTCAATCTAATTCATTCATTGTTATTGCTGAATAGTACACCAGTATACAAATATAGCACAATTTAAAATCCATTCTATCATGGACATTAGACTGGCCTTGAATTTTGTTGTTGTTGTTTGTTTGTTTGTTTTTTCCAGTCATGAACAATGCTGCTAGGATATTTTACATATCTCTTTGTACACATATTTGAGCATATCTTTATGGTATATACCTAAGAAAGAAATTGCTGGACCACAGAGTCATTTTTTTCCTTCACTAGATATTGCCAAATCATTCTCTAAAGTGGCTTTGCCAATTTGCATTCCCCACCATTTTAGTTTCACTTTATCATTTTCTACTTTCCAGTGCCCTGTGAGTTTTCCTTACTTTTGTAATCTCAGTTATTCATTTAAAAATATTTATCATGTGAAAACCATTTTGGTGTATTTGGTAACAATGCATATGATGTTGATGAAAATCAAGAAAGCCAGAGATAAGGAACTGAACCTGAGAAGATTACACACAAAGATGCAAAGTCAACATTAAGAAACAGCCCAATCTGCAACAGTGCGAGACTCCGTCTCAAAAATAAATAATAAAATAAAATAAATAAATAAAAATAAAAATAAATAGCCCAAGCTATGTGGAAGTTTCAGAAAATGCAGGATGCTTTCTTTTCACCCACAGTATAATTAAGGGTGATCTCTAAAAGAGAGCTCCAAGCCTTTGTACTTCAGTACAATTAGAGAGTAGTGACATGCACCCCTGTTACACATGTTGTTACAGTAGGTAGCTAGTCAAGCTAGTCAAGTATGAGCAGGGCAGGAGAGGGCTTCCCCTACACACCAGGAGTGTTGGGCGACCATCAGGTGAGGGTCAGGCGGTTGTTAACTGTTTCTCTAAAGTAATAATTGGGCCGGGCACTTTGGCTCACGCCTGCAATCCCAGCACTTTGGGAGGCGGAGGCGGGTGGCTCACCTGAGGTCAGGAGTTCCAGACCAGCCTGACCAACATGGTGAAACCCCGTCTCTACCAAAAATAGAAAAATTAGCCTGACGTGGTGGTGGGCGCCTGTAATCCCAGCTATTTGGGAGGCTGAGGCAGGAGAATCACTTGAACCTGGGAGGCGGAAGTTGCCGTGAACCAAGATCGGGCCATTGCACTCCAGCCTGGGCAACAAGAGGGAAACTCCATCTCAAATAAATAAATAAATAAACAGTAAAGTAATAATTGATCACTGCCAGCGCCAGGGAAAGGCTGTCTCCTAGTAGATAGAAAACACCTGAAACTGATCAGCAGCTTCCCAATGAGATCTCAGGCATGGGAAGAAGTAATGCAAGATCCTGGAAGTATGTCAACGCAGAAAACCCCAAGTCAAGAGGTCAAGCTGTGCGTTTAGTTTCTCAAGTCACCTGCTTGGTCCCCTTCCAAGTTGTACTTTCCTTCTTTTCTTTCCTTTTCTTGCAGTTCTAAAGCCTTTTTAAATAAACTTCCACTACTGCTCTGAAACTTACCTCGGTCTCTCCTGTCTCAGGCCCCTCAGTCGACTTATTTCTTCTGAGGAGGGGAGGACTGACTTTGCTGCGGACCCGCACTGATACGCAGACAGTAACTCAGGGTAACTCGGGTTCGTTCTACTGGTAACAATGTCATAAAAGGAACTAAGAGCAAATGATAGAAAGTCAGAATGATGGAAGGAACTGTAAGCCTGTCTTCAACATTGGAATTCTGTAATTTATTCCATTCTTTAAAGACTGATATTGCTCTGCCAGGAAGGCATATTTATTTAAAATAACATGGAGACCCCAAGATTTACAAAAACAATGAAAATGGGACTTTTGAAGGTGTAGTAAATTCTCCCAAATCAGAGAGATTCAAGTAGTGACTGTAATGATATCTGCATTTGGTTTCAGTTTTATTTAAGCCCTAGCCCAGCACTTTCCAAATATTAGACACTTAGTAAATATTCATCAGTTCAGCTAAGGAATGAAATTATTGACCCTTAAGTCTCTTCCGATCCATAAAAATCTTGCAAATATTTCTAGAGTATTAGCTTTGTATTCACAACCATACTGCAAGTGTCTTAGGAAAAATAGAGTATTTTAGGCTTTTCTATAAGACTGTTAAAAAGTTTCTATAGCTTCTCTAGAATAATAGACACTAATTTCGCCCACATTTCATAGGGAGGTGTTTGACCGCTAGGCAGGGACAGCTGAGAGGGTAGTTGTATATTGTTTTTGCAAATCTTAGAAAATTGAAACAGCCAGGAGTTTGAGGCTGATGAGAGATATAGGGAGAGAGGGACACGTCTACCTCCCCTCAATACCAATGCAAATTACTTTAAACAGACCTCTAGAGCTTGAGAAACCCTGAGGTGGGCCATAAGTATCATGTCTGTGAGAAAAAGAGAGAGAACTTGAAGTTATTTTAGATTCTGCTCAAGAAGATCATCAGGAGGAAGAAGCACACCTTGGCAGAAGGAGGCTTGAGGGAGGTTAAGGGATCAGCCGGAGGCATATTCAGTGGAGAAAACAGAACTGCAGATGAGAGCAATTCCCACATCTCCAGCAGAAAAAATCTGCCTCTTTTTAGCTGAAGAGGTATTGGGTACAGTGAAAAGGATCTGGGAAGGTAAAAAGGAAAGAAGTGTCTCCCCACCTACCCACTATCCTCTTTCCAGATGCACTTTTCCTACTCAGCAGACTTGAACTAAGGTTGAGGCAAATATTTCACTTTGATAGTCAGAGATTTTATTATTACACTGTAATTTTATTATTACATTATAACAATATTATTATGAGGATATGTTAATTACTGAACTGAGACTATTTGAGAGACTAAAGTGATAAGAGGATTTTTAAATATTATTATTATCTTAGAGTGAATAGATAATCCACCCAGGCTACCTCCCCAAATTTATTATATGAGAGAAAAATAACAGCTCTTGGGTTTTGTAGATGCAACTGTGAGGAGAAAACATCTTTATGATTACACTCTGAGTCATGGTTATTCAATATAACAGTTTAATGAACATGAAAGAACTCAGAATTTGGGGTCCGATAGGATGGTATTCTAATCCCTTATTTCAGAATTACTAACAGTATTAACTTGGGTTCCTCACTTAATTCCTTTGGGTCTCAAGATCTTATCTGAAAAATTCCAGGCTATAAAGATTAAATGCAATTAAGTATTTATGTGAAAAATGTATCAGATCGCTTGCCACATAAAAAATGCTCAATATACATAAATTTCTTTCCTATAGCAAATACCAGAGTTCCAAGCACATAAATATGCTCTGTCAATGCATGTGAATTAAACTTGATTCAACTAAACTCTTTTCTTTCATCACTTCTTCATCACAATCAATATGGTATTGATTGAATAGAGAAGACAGCAAATTATGGCTTTTGGGCCAATTCTAACCCACCACCTAATTTTGTAAATAAAGTTTTACTGGAAAACAACAATACTCATTCTTTACATATACTCTATGATTGCTTTTAGGTAATGAATTTGCATTTTATGCATCGTAAAGGCAGAGTTGAGTAGTAGCAACAAAGAACATAGAGCATGCAAAGCTCAAACTGTTTACTCCCTGTCCCTTTACAGAAAAAGTTTGCTAAACACTAAATTAAAATTAATGAAAGAAAGAGTGAAGGAGGATTGCCCACTGGCTCTTACATTTTTCTGTATGGAAGTGACACACATCACCTTCACTCCTAGTCCTTTATCCAGAGCTATACATATAGCCTCACCCAGCTGCAAGGGGTTGAGGCAGGTGTTCAGTATATGCCTTTGCCACATGCATGAAATAGATTACACTTTATAACTATTTTAAAGATAAAGATACAAGGGGTGAGGGAGATGAAGAAACTTGCCTAAGGCTACACAGCTAGTATGGCATAGTCAGATTTGAAACCTAAGCCTTTTAATCTCCACAGACCATGACATCTTTTTGCTATATTCCTTTATTCTCTAAATGTTCTTTATTTTTCTTTATTTCCCCAACTAAGCTTGCTATTCCTAATACCAACTTGGTTTTTAGTATAATAGATGTTTAATACGATGGAGATTCTTATCTAGTAAGAGATGACCTCACCATAGGATCCCTTCATTCTTTGTCTTTTTGTTTGTATATCTAGTTAAGATTGGTAATTTAGAAAGCATTTTTTTTTGTATTTATTTATTTGGCAAGTATTTATTGACTTAGGGTCTAGTAAATACTGAGGATCTAGTAAAAAATTGAATAATATAGTATTTATTTGTGGGTTATCGTATAATATTTTCTGGGGAAAGTTTCTTTTCTTTTCTTTTTGAGACAGGTTCTTGCTCTGTCGCCCAGGCAGATGTGCAGTGGCACGATCTCAGCTCACTGTAACCTCTACCTCCCAGGTTCAAGCAATTCTCATGCCTCAGCCTTCCAAATAGCTGAGATTACAAGCATGCACCACCACACCCGGCTAATTTTTGTATTTTTAGTAGAGAAGGGGTTTCGGCATGTTGGCCGGCCAGGCTGGTCTCGTACTCCTGACCTCAAGTTATCTGCCTGCTTCAGTTTCCCAAAGGGCTGGGATTATAGACGTGAGTCACTGAACCCAGCCCTGGGGAAAATTTGAAAATAATAAAAGATGCTCCATAAGAGTATCTTTTATTCCATAAGAGGAGATATCTTTAATATAAATAGTTATGCTCATGCATAAGAGTTTATTTTTTCAGGTTTCATTTCGCTTTTCTCTTTCTTTTCCTGAATCATTGCAACATAATGAGAGACTTAGGATTTTCTTCATACTCTTAGATGAATGTGACTAATATTCCAAACGAGTTTGTCTTATGTTTTTGTTGTTGTCATAGATGATTTATATCTAGCACCAACAAACTAACTAAAAACCATTTGTTTTAATCTGGAATTTTTTTTTGCATACACAAGAGTCAGAATATCTTTTTTAAAATGGTTTTGGAGAAAAGGTTTAGAGAAAGAAGGATTTAACACATATTTCAAGTGGAATTTTTTGTCTTATAATTAAATAGCCACAATATAAAAATTTAAATGATATAAATTTTCGAAGTCTAAGTGAGAAATAAGCCTCTGATTTTTAATATTAATGTTCTAGTGTAACAAAATACAGAAAAGCATAAATCATAAAAATATTTTATTTTATATTTCAGTGTTTAATAATACACAATATTAACTTCTAGGCTAAACTGATAGAAAGCAGAGAAAAGCAATAGTTATGTGTTGGGGTTTAAGCCCTCTATTCATTTTTTTTTTTTTGTAAAACTTGTCCAAAAAAGCTCAGAGAATATATCAAAGAGATGGTGACTAGATCCTGCTGAAAAGTTCCACAGGCATATTATTCAAAATTAGATATACTTTTTCTTCCATACCATTACTCTTGTCCAGAACTTGAAGTAGGCAGCTTTCAGACATGCTGCTTTTTTTTTCCCAGTTGTAGCAAATAAATGGTATACTTATTCATGAGAATCTATTTCTAATTTAGAAGCCCCACCTTTACGTGTACCTTTACCAAGCAAACCTCAGGGGAAAGTAATTAAAACAAGTGTAACGTCATATGTATGTGTTGTATTCTGGAACTATAGAAATTATTTAATTGCCATTAGAATGGTACCTTTTTCCTATTTTTTGAATTTTAATATGTAATTATGTATTTGCTATTAAATTATCTTTTTCTCAGCCACTGGAATCAGATACTGCTGTGGTGAAATATATTTTCCATAAGTTATCTTTCCAAACTCAAAACTGATTTTATTATTTGCTTCAGTAAGCAACAAAAGGGTACTTAACCAACTATGAAAGATATGTGAATAATGGAAATGCGGACCTAGTGGGAAATAGATGCTTGTAAATAATTCACCAATTTTGCAGATGCACAAATCCATTTTTAAGCTTTCAATATTTACAATCAGTATAGGATGTGAACACACAGCTTCCAGAAGAGAAAATACTATGGCATTTAAGCATGAGTGAACATAAAACAATCTCAATCACACTAAACACATAAATGCAAACTGAAGCTTCAGTGATGTTTCATATTTTTACTTGTCACATTGGCTAAGATCAAAAATTGTAAAACACTGTATTTTGACCCATTGTTTTTTGAAATAGGCTCTCTCACATATTGCTTGTGAAAATATAAAGGTAAAGCCTCTCTGGATGGTAATTTGTAGTCATTTGTTAAATTATGAATTCATATGTCTTTGACCAGAAGTTTGTCTTTTAGAAATCATTGTATAGATGTATTTAAAGATGTATGTACAATTATATTTTCAGCATTGTTTATAATGGTTTAAAAAAGGAAACAAGTTTAAATATCGATCCATTAGAACTGGTTAAATAAATTATGGAGTCCTATCTTGCTGCTAAAAGTTTTATGTACTAATACAGAATGATTAGTAAGATGCAGTGTTGAGTAATAAAAGAAAGATGCAAAACAATGTGTGTGGAAAGACTAACGTGTCAAATATTTAAGCAAAACTATATAAAGATATGTGGGATATCTCAGAAACTGAAAAAAGCAAAAGCAAAAAAGAATTGCTCTGGGGGAAGAGGTTGGCCCAGGAAGAAAAGTGAAATAAAATCTTACATTTCAATATATTTAAGTTTTTATAATTTGCATGCAATGCCCATTCAAAAGTAATTAAGAAGATAATAATTTGGGAAGCTATTTCTGAACTGCAGTACAAGAATTACAGACAAGATCATTCAATTCTTAATTTCTATAAAAAACAAATATATATCATGAAACTTTGAAATTTATATTTAATACAAATGGATTTTATATTTATTCAAGGGAAATTATGGTATTAATG